>NC_000013.11:81312078-81464918 GCF_000001405.40 Homo sapiens | reverse complement strand
AGCAGCATCTGTGGTTCACCAATATCAACTGTTCTGCAGCCACTGCTGCTGATACCCAGGCAAACAGGGTCTGGAATGGAGCTCTAGCAAACTCCAACAGACCTGCAGCTGAGGGTCCTGTCTGTTAGAAGGAAAACTAACAAACAGAAAGGACATCCACACCAAAAAACCATCTGTACATCACCATCATCAAAGACCAAAGGTAGATAAAACCACAAAGATGGGAAAAAAACAGAGCAGAAAAACTGGAAACTCTAAAAAGCAGAGTGCCTCTCCTCCTCCAAAGGAACGCAGCTCCTCACCAGCAACGGAACAAAGCTAGACAGAGAATGACTTTGACGAGTTGAGAGAAGAAGGCTTCAGACGATCAAACTACTCCAAGCTACAGGAGGAAATTCGAACCAATGACAAAGAAGTTAAAAGCTTTGAAAAAAAAATTAGATGAATGGATAACTAGAAAAACCAATGCAGAGAAGCCCTTAAAGGACCTGAAGGAGCTGAAAACCAAGGCATGAGAGTGACATGATTAATGCAGAAGCCTCAGTAGCCAATGCGATCAACTGGAAGAAAGGGTATCAGTGATGGAAGACGAAATGAATGAAATGAAATGAGAAGAGAAGTTTAGAGAAAAAAGAATAAAAAGAAACGGACAAAGCCTCCAAGAAATATGGGACTATGTAAAAAGACCAAATCTACATCTGATTGGTGTACCTGAAAGTGACGGGGAGAATGGAACCAAGTTGGAAAACACTCTGCAGGATATTATCCAGGAGAACTTCCCAAATCTAGCAAGGCAGGCCACATTCAAATTCAGGAAATAAAGAGAATGCCACAAAGATACTCCTCGAGAAGAGCAACTCCAAGACACATAATTTTCAGATTCACCAAAATTGAAATGAAGGAAAAAATGTTAAGGGCAGCCAGAGAGAAAGGTCGGGTTACCCACAAAGGGAAGCCCATCAGACTAACAGCTGATCTCTCAGCAGAAACTCTACAAGTCAGAAGAGAGTGGGGACCAATATTCAACATTCTTAAAGAAAAGAATTTTCAACCCAGAATCCCATATCCAGCCAAACTAAGCTTCATAAGTGAAGGAGAAGTAAAATACTTTAGAGACAAGCAAATGCTGAGAGATTTTGTCACCATCAGGCCTGCCCTAAAAGAGCTCCTGAAGGAAGCACTAAACATGGAAAGAAACAACCGGTACCAGCCACTACAAAATCATGCCAAATTGTAAAGACCATCGAGGCTAGGAAGAAACTGCACCAACTAACGAGCAAAATAACCAGCTAACATCATAATGACAGGATCAAATTCACACATAACAATATTAACCTTAAATGTAAATGGGCTAAATGCTCCAATTAAAAGACACAGACTGGCAAATTGGATAAAGAGTCAAGACCCATCAGTGTGCTGTATTCAGGAGACCCATTTCACGTGCAGAGACACATATAGGCTCAAAATAAAGGGATGGAGGAAGATCTACCAAGCAAATGGAAAACAAAAAACGGCAGAGGTTGCAATCCTAGTCTCTGATAAAACAGACTTTAAACCAACAAAGATCAAAAGAGACAAATAAGGCCATTACATAATGGTAAAGGGATCAATTCAACAAGAAGAGCTAACTGTCCTAAATATATATGCACCCAATACAGGAGCACCCAGATTCATAAAGCAAGTCCTGAGTGACCTACAAAGAGACTTAGACTCCCACACAATAATAATGGGAGACTTTAACACCCCACTGTCAACATTAGACAGATCAATGAGACAGAAAGTTAACAAGGATACCCAGGAATTGAACTCAGCTCTGCACCAAGCAGACCTAATAGACATCTACAGCACTCTCCACCCCAAATCAACAGAATATACATTTTTTTCAGCACCACACCACACCTATTCCAAAATTGACCACATAGTTGGAAGTAAAGCGCTCCTCAGCAAATGTAAAAGAACAGAAATTGTAACAAACTATCTCTCAGACCACAGTGCAATCAAACTAGAACTTAGGATTAAGAAACTCCCTCAAAACCACTCAACTACATGGAAACTGAACAACCTGCTCCTGAATGACTACTGGGTAAATAAGGAAATGAAGGCAGAAATAAAGATGTTCTTTGAAACCAACGAGAACAAAGACATAACATACCAGAATCTCTGGGACACATTCACAGCAGTGGTAGAGGGAAATTTATAGCACTAAATGCCCACAAGAGAAAGCAGGAAAGATCTAAAATTGACACCCTAACATCACAATTAAAAGAACTAGAAAAGCAAGAGCAAACACATTCAAAACCTAGCAGAAGGCAAGAAATAACTAAGATCAGAGCAGAACTGAAGGAAATAGAGACACAAAAAACCCTTCAAAAAATTAATGAATCCAGGAGCTGGTTTTTTGAAAAGATCAACAAAATTGATAGACCACTAGCAAGACTAATAAAGAAGAAAAGAGAGAAGAATCAAATAGACACAATAAAAAATGATAAAGGGGATATCACCACCGATCCCACAGAATTACAAATTACCATCAGAGAATACTATAAACACCTCTACGCAAATAAACTAGAAAATCTAGAAGAAATGGATAAATTCCTCGACACATACATCCTCCCAAGACTAAACCAGGAAGAAGTTGAATCTCTGAATAGACCAATAACAGGCTCTGAAATTGAGGCAATAATCAATAGCTTACCAACCAAAAAAAGTCCAGGACCGGATGGATTCACAGCCGATTTCTACCAGAGGTACAAAGAGGAGCTGGTACCATTCCTTCTGAAACTATTCCAATCAATAGAAAAGAAGGAATCCTCCCTAACTCATTTTATGAGGCCAGCATCATCCTGATTCCAAAGCCTGGCAGAGACACAACAAAAAAAGAGAATTTTAGACCAATATCCTTGATGTACATTGATGCAAAAATCCTCAATAAAATACTGGCAAACTGAATCCAGCAGCACATCAAAAAGCTTATCCACCACGATCAAGTGGGCTTCATCCCTGGGATGCAAGGCTGGTTCAACATATGCAAATCAATAAATGTAATCCAGCATATAAACAGAACCAAAGACAAAAACCACATGATTATCTCAACAGATGCAGAAGAGGCCTTTGACAAAATTCAACAACACTTCATGCTAAAAACTCTCAATCAATTTGGTATTGATGGGACATATCTCAAAATAATAAGAGCCATCTATGACAAACTCACAGCCAATATCATACTGAATGGGCAAAAACTGGAAGCATTCCCTTTGAAAACTGGCACAAGACAGGGATGCCCTTTCTCACCACTCCTATTCAACATAGTGTTGGAAGTTCTGGCCAGGGCAATCAGCCAGGAGAAGGAAATAAAGGGCATTCAATTAGGAAAAAAGGAAGTCAAATTGTCCCTGTTTGCAGATGACATGATTGTATATCTAGAAAACCCCATCGTCTCAGCCTAAAATCTCCTCAAGCTGATAAGCAACTTCAGCAAAGTCTCAGGATACAAAATCAATGTACAAAAATCACAAGCATTCTTATACACCAATAACAGACAAACAGAGAGCCAAATCATGAGTGAACTCCCATTCACAATTGCTTCAAAGAGAATAAAATACCTAGGAATCCAACTTACAAGGGATGTGAAGGACCTCTTCAAGGGGAACTACAAACCACTGCTCAATGAAATAAAAGAGGATACAAACAAATGGAAGAACATTCCATGCTCATGGGTAGGAAGAATCAATATCGTGAAAATGGCCATACTGCCCAAGGTAATTTAGAGATTCAATGCAATCCCCATCAAGCTAACAATGACTTTCTTCACAGAATCGGAAAAAAATACTTTTAAGTTCTTATGGAACCAAAAAAGAGCCCATGTCACCAAGTCAATCCTAAGCCAAAAGAACAAAGCTGGAGGAATCATGCTACCTGACTTCAAACTATACTACAAGGCTACAGTAACGAAAACAGCATGGTACTGGTACCAAAACAGAGATATAGACCAATGGAAGAGAACAGAGCCACATATCTACAACTATCTGATCTTTGACAAACCTGAGAAAAACAAGCAATGGGGAAAGGATTCCCTATTTAATAAATGGTGCTGGGAAAACTGGCTAGCCATATGTAGAAAGCTGAAACTGGTTCTCTTCCTTACACCTTATACAAAAATTAATTCAAGATGGATTAAAGACTTAAATGTTAGACCTAAAACCATAAAAACCCTAGAAGAAAACCTAGGCAATACCGGGCAAGGACTTCACGTCTAAAACACCAAAAGCAATGGCAACAAAAGCCAAAATTGACAAATGGGATCTAATTCAACCAAAGAGCTTCTGCACAGCAAAAGAAACTACCATCAGAGTGAACAGGCAACCTACAAAATGGGAGGAAATTTTTGCAACCTACTCATCTGACAAAGGGCTAATATCCAGAATCTACAATGAACTCAAACTAATTTACAAGAAAAAACAAACAACCCCATCAACAAGTAGGCAAAGGATATGAACAGACACTTCTCAAAATAGGACATTTATGCAGCCAAAAAACACATGAAAAAATGCTCATCATCACTGGCCATCAGAGAAATGCAAATCAAAACCACAATGAGATACCATCTCATACCAGTTAGAATGGCGATTATTAAAAAGTCAGGAAACAACAGGTGCTGGAGAGGATGTGGAGAAATAGGAACAGTTTTACACTGTTGCTGGGACTGTAAACTAGTTCAACCCTTGTGGAAGTCAGTGTGGCGATTCCTCAGGGATCTAGAACTAGAAATACCATTTGACCCAGCCATCCCATTACTGGGTATATACCCAAAGGATTATAAATCATGCTGCTATAAAGGCGCATGCACATGTATGTTTATTGCGGCACTATTCACAATAGCAAAGACTTGGAACCAACCTAAATGTCCAACAACGATAGACTGGATTAAGAAAATATGGCACATATACACCATGGAATACTATGCAGCCATAAAAAATGATGAGTTCATGTCCTTTGTAGGGACATGGATGAAACTGGAAACCATCATTCTCAGCAAACTATCGCAAGGACAAAAAACCAAACACCGCATGTTCTCACTCATTGGTGGGAATTGAACAATGAGATCACATGGACACAGGAAGGGGAACATCACACACTGGAGACTGTTGTGGGGTGGGGGGAGGGGGGAGTGATAGCATTAGGAGATATACCTAATGCTAAATGACCAGTTAATGGGTGCAGCACACCAACATGGCACATGTATACATATGTAACAAACCTGCACGTTGTGCACATGTACCCTAAAACTTAAAGTATAATAATAATAAAATTTAAAAAAAAAGTTTACCCAATCTTCAGTGAAAATAAGCAAGGCTGTAAGAAGTCCAGGGTTCCATAAAAACTAATAACGTCTATTCTAATGAGAATCTAATAGCAGGCCTTGGGCCTTTCAATCTGTCAACAGTCAAGAGCAATAGAGGGTATTTTGGAGTCATTTTTATTTGCTTCTTCCATTTCTTTTTAGGATTGACAACACACAGGGAAATGGTTAGAACCATAGGCTCTTGATTAGACCTTGGTGATATTCCTGCTCTGATATTTACAAACAGCATAGCCTGAGGCATGTTACCCAATATTCGTAAATCACAGTGTTATAATTTGTCATGTTGTCATACATGCTTTTCAGTATACTGTCATACAGCTCACATTGGGTTATGGGAATAAAATAATTTCACCATTAAAGTTACTGGTAAGCACCCCACATATGTTAGCTTTTTAAAATTATTTTTCTAATCACTCTGCATTGGGAGGAATGCTACATTTATTGTGTATATGTCTAAATATATACATGCATGTTGGTAAATATTTATTGTGCACTTACTTTGCCAGCAGTGAAAGTTAACTGTGTATATCAGATATTCCTAATATTGCTGACATATGTGGTTGCATTTTATTTCTATAAAACCTTGAGATGACTGGAATATTTGAACAAGGGATGGAAGAAGAAAATATAGTGCTTTACTCTAATAGGGAAATGGACACTGATAAATAGAGAGCTTCCTTTTCTGCTGAAAAGCCTAGTAATAGCAAGACCCTTGGCTGTTCAACAGTTTTGTTTGAGTAGATTGCAATATCCTGGTTTGAGACCAAAGGGAATCTGGAAAGTCTAATTTATCCTCAAATTACATTTATTAGTCTGGCCTAGTTTTAAATAGTCCTCTGCACTCTGCAGGTATTTTATGTAATTTTTTAGATTTAATGCAGGTTTTAAATCTTGGTTTATCAATTAGTATTTTGTTTCTTTTAGATGTGAAACTGTAAAATGGAATCCTCTGCACTTGTCATGGGAGTCGCTTTATCTTTTTCAAGAGCTTTCTGATTTCCTTGAAAATAAACCAAACTCATATTTTTTTTCTCTTCAACTGAAGCAAGTAGAAATTTAAAACTAGATTCACATTCCAAAGTGTTCACCGACAATAGTACTTCTTACAGTTTAACATGTGACTTAGTGTTACATAAATTATTCATTAAGATGAAACATTCTGACTTAGCAACCTTTACTGCAGTTATGAGGATTGCGTTGAAAACCTGCTTTGAATACAAATCACAATAACTACAAATCAATGTGTCCTACTAAAGCTGTGGATAAGTCTACATAGCAAAATTCTCTGCAACCACAAGCATTGAAATGACACAAATTTGAGACATCGTCTAAGGCAGCCCCTGGCCTGAATGCCTAACTACAAGATATTCATTCTGAAAGCCTAATTTCTTTTCCTCTCAAAGTTCATGATTTTCTTTTTGCCCTTTCCAAGATTTTCCATTATTTTTTTCTTTGACTATACCCTCCAATACCTTGCCATTTCCTATATTTTAATTTCCTGCCTTCCTTCACGAGTCATTAACACTCAGTCACCCACCCTGCCAACAAAAACAGAAACAATACAAATCAGAAAACAAAGAAACCTTCTCAGGAAATCTTTTCAGATCAACTTATAATAAGACATTTTCATGGTAAAATATTTAGCAAAACAGCAGCATTGCCTCGGTTGCATATAGTCAGCCACGTTTGTGTCAAAGATGAGTTCTCATATACAGTGATTGCGCTACCTATTAGTTAAAGGTCAAATTCTTCAAGTCAGAATATTTTCAAACTAGTGTCTTTTCAAATCATCATTTTTAGCAAACTGTTCTATACCTAAGACTGTTCCAAATTGAGTGCTTTTCTGAATATCGAGGAGTTTCTTAACATTTTCTTATTTCTAGTGGTGTTTATTATATCAATAAAAAATCTTCAAACCTGTGTTATAAGGGAAAAAAATTTAAAAAATTGATTTTGACTATGGCCATGAAGACTTACAGAGAGTTTGAGGTTATATATATATATATATATATATATATAAATGATGGATATGGTGGTTCAATATACAGTTCTCTTACTAGCTAGGACTCTAGTCCTAAATATTTTATGTTGGTGTCTCTTCTTGTAAATCAGATTGTTCCTTACCTTAGTCTTTAATCTTTAATTAATAACAAAACGAGTCATTAGACTTATACTTATGTAGGATATGAGCTCTGTAACTGTTTGCATTTCCTTTCACCCATATCAAAACACTTCCTCTCTACCAACAGAACAAGTTTCAGTGTGTACTGTAGAGACTAGCAGGAAAAAAAATTAAGAGCAAGAAAATCTTTTCCTGTCTACTATGGCATGGAAACAAAAGGAGTTAGCCATAAAGGTACCTGAATACGTACTTCCATCCCTAAAATCAGTCTCTTTCATCAGCTGTCTCTTCTTCCACTAGTTAATTTAAGGTCCTTATCTGCCTGATGTCAGGCTTTATATCAAGTGAGGTGATGGGTATCTCCCTGCTATGGAAACAGAAAGCCCTTCCTGGGCTGTTACAATAATTTTCTTAATGCAAATCGTGACTTTCCTATAGCAAAACTAGCCAACCAGTGAGTTCACCAACACTACCATATAGTTTTTAAGGGAAAAATGAACATGGAATAAAGATTTTAGAAAGTTTAATTTTCATTCACTTAACAAATACATGTTAAGTTGGCAGTATGATGGCAGGTACTAGGGATATAGTGTTAATCTAGGCTGATTTTGACTAGCCCTCACGTAGGTTGAATTTAACATTAGATACATACCAAATACATGTATAGAATAGTTATGTGGATCTGTAGAAGAAACTTTTAACAATATATCAAAGAAGGACTACATCATCCCCAATGTAAGCACTGTGTGTGACTCAGGGTGGAGTGACAAGTGCAAAATTCTAAGGCTTGGTGGTCTAATAGAGAAAAGCCAAGGATAATACAGCTGAAAAATAATAAATTGGGGAGTGGCATGAATGATTTGAAGTTAAGAAGTTGTATATTAATGTAAAGAGTTTATATTTTAACTGCGCTGTAATATATGGTCATTTAAGTGTTTTACACGGAGCATGACCTTATCAAATATATGTTTTTAGGAAATTACTCTTGCTGCCATGTAGAATATAATTTGTAGATGAATAAAAGTAGAAGCATGGAGACCAGACAGAAGGAAATAGCAGTTATTAAATTAAATAATTAATATGTCCTGGCTTAGATGGATAGCTGGGAGAACAGAAAAATGAGGACAGATACTAGACATATTTTGGAGGCAGAAACATGAAGTTGGTGATGCATTGATCCTGAGGGATGAGAGAAAAGGAAAAATTGAAACTGACTCCCCCTCATATTTTTGCTTGAAAGGTGATGATGGGTCCATTATCTAATATGGGAAAGTGTGAGAAGAACTATGGGTGGTACAATAAAAACTTTAATTTTAGATTTATTAGGATTGAGATAAGGATTATAAGATAGGAGATAGTGGAGTTGTATTTGGGATTTCTCAAGCCATCCCTGTTCAAATTTCTATGCTCTGAAATGTTTCCAGCAACCCCCACAATGTCCTTTCACTCCATCCCTTGCCTGGTACATGCCAAATGACTCTTCAAATCCATGCTCAGATGTTGTCCTTGTCAGAAAGCCTTCCTGATTTCAGTGTAGGCATCCAGTCAATGCTCTCCATTCATTCTCTCGTTTACTTGCCTTTTTTCCTCCAGAATCATAATTTGATAAGGGGAGAAACTGCACTTCCATCTTTTTCTTTTTCCCAGACACTAGTCCAGCTATCCAATAAACCTTTGTTTTGCTTTTTTTTTTTTTTTTTTTTTGAGACAGAGTTTCGCTCTTGTCACCCAGGCTGGTGTGCAATGGTGTGATCTTAGATGGCTGCACCCTCCACCTCCCAGGTTTTAGCGATCCTCTGTCTCAGCCTCCCAAGTAGCTGAGATTACAGGCGCCCACCACCAGGTCCGGCTATTTTTTTTTTGGTATTTTTAGTAGAGATGTGGTTTCACCATGTTGGCTAGGACGGTCTCAAACTCCTGACCTAAGGTGATCCGCCCGCCTCGGCCTCCCCAAGTGCTGAGATTACAGGCGTGAGTCACCACGCCCGGCCTGTTTTGCATTCTTATACTACAAACAACTGAGCGGTGTGGAGGAGGCACTCTCGTCAGAGCTTGAATCCACAGACTGAGTGAAATAGGACAATCCACCACTAAAGAATCTACAAAGATTATGATCCTTTACCTAGACAAAACCATGAATTGTGTTAAGTGCAGCTGTGTTGATGTCTGTGTATTTTTACATCTCTGGAGGCAGGAAGAATCGGTAGATATTTTGGTTATTTTGGCCTTTCTAATTTCAAGGCCAAATAATACTGTGGTACAAAGAACGGATGTATAGATACATATCTGAAACCTTGACAGACAATGTGTTTTGGGAAAAAAATTGATATGATTCAGGCCTATAAATGTTATGACTTCAATACACCAGAAACAAGCGATAAAATTCTACATACCAACATGAGAAGACAATCACTGATCACTTAGAAGCATCTATCTAGGGCCCTCCTATATCCACATCTATCTGGACTAAACAGTAAGGTTTCAGAAGGGGTTATTCAGAGAAAATGTTCACTCTGCACATTTGCAAAGGATTTACTAAACTTAAAAATAGAGGGATTATGTTGTAAGTGAAGAAGGGGAAACATTTTATTCCATCAGATTTCTACTAAGTAGGAAAATACATTCCATGTTTAATCTGTTAAATCATATTTTTATTTTGTTTCGTTTTGTTATTTTAAATATGTTCTTCCATTTCCATTAATAATGTTATTCACTATGAAGGACATTTTAAAAACTAAACTCAAAAGCAATAGTTTGCTTTCTGCTTGTGCTATCACATTAATTAGGTTAGGTAAGGATGACTTAATTGATTTAGTTCAATTGATGTGAGAAGGAAATAGTCCTAGGAGTTGAATATGTCTGCCAATACAAAATAAGATAAGAAGTGATGGATTCATCTTTGAAGCCTTCATGTAATTAGAATGTACAACCTAAGAATAAAGTTAATCCTAAGTAGGAGGTATTACAACCAACTTATTTCTTTTTTCCTTCTTCTTTTTTTTTTTTTTTTTTTTTTTTCTGAGGCAGAGTCTCACTCTGTTGCCCAGGCTGGAGTGCAGTGGTGCAGTCTCGGTTCACTGCAACCTCTGCTTCCTGGGTTCAAGCAGTTCTCCTGCCTCAGCCTCCTGAGTAGCTGGGATTACAGGTGTGCACCACCATGCCTGGCTAATTTTTGTATTTTTAGTAGACACAGGGTTTCACCATGTTGATCAGGCTGGTCTTGAACCCCTTACCTTGTGATCCTCCCACCTCAGCCTCCCGAAGTGCTGGGATTACAGGCGTGAGCCACCACGCCCAGCTTTCTTCTTTTTAGTATTTTAAAACAGAATGTATGTCTTCCAGAGCTTTGAGATTTTGTTCTTATTCCTTTCTCTTTTACCTCATATTTGCTCATAACTTGGTTTTGTCCTTTTTAGTATTTACAAAAGGTCGAGAAATTCAAAGTATGAATTTCCTTTTTAATTTTATTTTAATCAGTTTCATCTTGAAAAACAATGTGTTACTTTAGGTTCACTATGTATACAAGACAACATTTCCGCTACAGCACATTATTGAGTCCTGATAGCTTGACCTAAGGCTTAGTAAAGTATAGGGGGAAGAAATGAAAGGATGAGAAAAATGGTAAAAATATGTTTGCTAGCCTTGTTAAACACTTGGTAGAATATTTTTGAATACTTTCTTAGTATTCAAAACTAGTAAAAATGTATACTTTAATACTTTTTTGACATTATATGTATATATATCAAAGTTATGCACATGTATCTTTGAGATGTCAATCATCCAGTATTTATCAAATACAAACTATCACACAGAAGTGATAATTATCACTAATGTTAATCCCTAATGCTTATTTTTTGAAAAACATCCTAATCTGTTTTTATGTACATTCTAATCATGAAAAGTCTTCAATGATGAGTTTATTACAATTTATTATTGCTAATATTGGCAGCAGCATTTTACTCCTGGCGGTCTTTAATTCTAATATCAATATATATTTTCTTCAGGAAAACAATTATAGTTAATCATCTATTATGCAGTGTGTGTGTGTGTGTGTGTATATATATATGTGTGTGTCTGTGTTTAGTTAATGCCTTAAAATTAAATTTAGTGTACTCTAGTCACTTCTATTATTAGAAATTGAAAACGTTACTTTTTGGTTTAATGCCAATTCTGTTTATAATAGCTAATCTATGTCAGAATTACATTTTGAAATAATAAGATTAAGCATAAACTTAAAGTCACAACAAGAAAACATACCAAATTCAATTTATCACCTTCTTGAAACCTTATGTGTGTGTGTAGGTCTATATGTATGGGTATTTGGTTATACTATGACATAAATAAAAACATGACTGTTTACTCGGTAATAAACCCTTGTTTATTTAATTCTTTTTTCTCCTTACCCTTTACTTCTTTTCTTCCTTTCTTCCTTTTTGGACAAGCTTCTCACATTAGATAGCATAACTTGTTGGTTTGCATTTAGGAATTAAAAAAAAAATACTTCACCAACTCTAATTTGAAATACATTCAAATATAATTAATAATTTTTATAACTTATTTTTCTTGACACTCTTGTGTCATTCAACACAGTTGTCCTCTTTATCTCTTAGTTTCATATTATCTCTCATTGATTTTCATAATCATACTCAAATTATTGTCAATATTTTTTATGGATTTGTGTTCACCCTAAAAAGTTGATATTTTTAAACTACAGTCTGCTGCATTCTGTTTTTTGTAACTCTTCTCAGTTACATAGTAACCCAGAAGATTCTATCCCAGCTCAATACTTCCACTATACACTGATAGTATACATATATAATTCCACCATGGTCTGTCTATAGACTTCCAAATTCATAACTTTGGCATTACACTGCACAGTCACTTGGATATCCACAAGCACCACAAGGTGAGGTCCCACCTGTAAATCATTATCTTCAAAATAAAACTACCTTCCACCCCAATATTTCAATCCTGGTTTTTGTCCTCTGAGTAAAGACAAACCCTCTGCCCAGGCCCCAGTCACAAATCCATAATTATCACAGCCCTGTCTCATCCCCCATGATAAAATGAACTCAAACTCATCTTCCCTCTTTTACATGGTCTTTGTCATTGATCATTCAACTTTCATTATTAGTCTATATCATTACTGTTCCGAGCTCTTTGCTTCCAGGTTTGAAAACTTCCCATTGACTCTCCCATTGCTGTCAAAGGGACCATTGGGAATTCAAAGTATGATTATGTCACTTTAGCACTTAAAACTCTTTCACTGGTTCTTCTCAGCCTTCAAGAAAAGCAAAAATCTAAATGCAAATCATAGTTAACAGGACCCATGGTGATCTTGCCTCTGCATTTAATAATGCCTCAGCTAAATTTCCTCCACTTTTCAATTAAAAAATATGCCCTCTCACTGTAGCATATTGCCAGAATGCTATTCTCTAAATACATCAAGTTTCTCCATTTTAATTTTTTTTTACATGAATGCCTTATTCACTTGACAGAAAGCTTCTTTCACAGACTCTCACCCTATGCCTCTTATGTACTAAGACAAATACATGAAGATTTTTTTTCAGTTTCAACTCTTCTGTTTAGTAATTATTCAAGTATTTATTCATTCAGTTCATTAATTAGGTCTGAACTCCTACTAGGTGCCCAGTACTGTGCAGTGTCCTGCATTTTAGCAGTAAACTACAGAGATGGCCTCAGCTCTTGTTTTAGCCTTTCTCCAAATCTGTTGGTAAACACTTTTTTTTTTTTTTTTTTTTTTTTTTTTTGAGACGGAGTCTCGCTCTGTCGCCCAGGCCGGACTGCGGACTGCAGTGGCGCGATCTCGGCTCACTGCAAGCTCCGCTTCCCGGGTTCACGCCATTCTCCTGCCTCAGCCTCCCGAGTAGCTGGGACTACAGGCGCCCGCCACCGCGCCCGGCTAATTTTTTGTATTTTTAGTAGAGACGGGGTTTCACCTTGTTAGCCAGGATGGTCTCGATCTCCTGACCTCATGATCCACCCGCCTCGGCCTCCCAAAGTGCTGGGATTACAGGCGTGAGCCACCGCGCCCGGCCGGTAAACACTTTCTCTGCTGCAATACTATTTATTCCACTCCTCCATTATAACCATTTTTAATATAATGCAATCTTTTGTTTGATTTTTCATGATATCCATTATACCATAAGCCTCTCAATGGGAGGGACTTTTTTTTATTCATTTTTTAAACCAACTCATATCTTATCATGATGGTTAATATACAATAGGCACTTTCCAATATTTATAAAATAATTGAATAGCAATGAGTAATTTCTAATTGACTTAATGGTATGCAAACCAGCATTGATTTTTTAAAAATTTCTAAACAGATAATGGAAAAATATCTATATAGTCAGTTAAGGTAGAGACAGAAAAATTCTGTAAATTCTTTTATCCTCAGCTGGGATGTCCTTCTAGATTGCTCTATATGACCAAAGTGTGCTCTTTAATGTCTAGTTTAAAATAATCATATCTCAGGGAGTCCATGCATGATGCAGTAGTCATTATTCATTTCACTTTCTTCCAAATTCAGAGGAAGGTTTTCAGATAACCACTCATTTAGCAATTAATATATGCTGCTTTGTGATACTTAAAAGTACTGTTATCAATTAATGGCACTTCTTCCTCAAAAATACAGAATCAGACATCTGCCAACTCTTAAGTTCTGCACACTCAGTTCTTAAAAATAAAAAATAATTCACTGACCATTTTTTTCTGCCATGTTAAGGGTAAGGTCTGATTCCTCCATTTTTCCTTTTATGTAAACTATTCTCTCATGAAATAATTCACCCACAGCCTCGCCTCTCTCTCTCTACTTGCTCAGTAGTGTTATCTCTTCTACCTCACCGAGTCCAAAAGTTCAGGGCTCCTAACTCAAACTCTCAGAGCACTAACTATGACTGTGGGATATTCTTTGCTTGTTGTCAACAAATCACATGGAGTAAATAGAGAAAATTCTAAACATCAGTACATTAGTCAGCGTTCTCTAGAGGGACAGAACTAATAGTATAGATGCGTATATAAAGGAGAGTTTATTAAAGAGTATTGACATAGGTGATCACAAGGTGAGGTCCCACAATAGGCCATCCGCAAGCTGATGAGCTAGAGAGCCAGTCTGAGTCCCAGAAACCTCAAAAAATAGGGAAGCAGACAGTGCAGCCTTCAATATGTGGCCAAAAGTCCAAAAGTAACAAAGCAGAAGAACTCAGAGTCCGATGTTCAAGGGCAGGGAGCATCCAGCACAGGAGATAGATGTAGGGTGGAAGACTAAGCCAGTCTAATCCTTCCACATTTCTCTGTCTGCTTTTATACTAGCCATACTGGCAGCTGATAAGTTGGTGCCCACCCAGATTGAGAGTGGGTCTGCCTCTCCAAGTCCACTGACTCAAATGTTAATCTCCTTTAGCAACACCCTCACAGACACACCCAGGAACAATGCTTTACACCCTTCAATCCAATCAAGTTGAAGCTCAATATTAACCATCACAATCAGTATATATAATTGAGCTTTCTATTATGTTTCTTCTTCATTGCACCTTTTTACTCTGTCTTTTATTTTTGTCTCTCTCTT
The DNA here is from genome assembly GCF_000001405.40 of Homo sapiens. Lineage (NCBI taxonomy): Eukaryota > Metazoa > Chordata > Mammalia > Primates > Hominidae > Homo > Homo sapiens. Next base: position 81,449,843 of record NC_000013.11, on the reverse strand, counting down.
CCTCTATTTATGTTCCATTCAAATATAAAGCAGGATGCAAACACACACATGCATATCAGCACATACCACCTTTTTACATCTGAATTTTCACACAATTCCTTTCTTGAAGCTTTATTTCCCCTTCTACTGGTAGAGAATTTTTTTTTGTATGCTGTTTCCTTGTTTTACTTCTGGTATTCTTGACTGGGACATACATGTGAAAATGCAATGAAAAATTCAGATTCTAATTAATTTTTGTTTTGAAATATGTTTCAGGGTGTACTGGTTTTCATCATAATTACTGAGAATCTCACAAAATTAATAAAAAATTGTAAAGTATGTAAAGATCATACACTATGCAAATGCACATTTAATTTGGTATTATCTTTCCATTTTAAATAAAACAGTACATAGAGAAGACAGGGAGAAATAACATGTCACATGAACAGTTTAAAGCTGGCTGCAAATCTATTGCTTCTTGTCCCATTGAGCAGTGGAGGCGATGTCCACTCCTCTTGAATTTTGGCTGGCCTGTGACTGTCACTAATAGAATACAGTTAAAATGACACTATGCTCATTATTGGCCTAGCCTTTAAGAGAAATGGCCTTTTTTGCTTTTTTCCTCTTGGAGTTCTGAGTTATTATATGAATCTCGCTACCTTGCTGGAAAGAGTGTTTACAAGAGACCTGAGATGTCTTGAAGAGAAAGAAAGATTCAGCTGAACCCAGCTTTGTAAATGCCCCTTTGAACAAAGCAGGTAGACAATAGAAGCCTTCTTGGACACTGCACACCAGCTTAGCTACCATTGAATAAGCTGAGATAATTCCCTTACCAAAGCTGTATGGAATAAAACTGCCCAGTAAAACTCTGCCTAAATTTCTGACCCACAAATTTATGAAAATAATAAGATTGTTGTTTTAAAGCACTGTGCTTTGGAACAGTCAATTATGCAGCAATAGGTAAAGGAAATGATAGTCATCATATTTTAGATAATAGTATATTGACATTTTAGTTGTTGCATATTTTTACATTTATTTAAATTTGTCTTAGTGTAAAATTGTTTCCTTTAATGCCATTTATGATATAAAATGTAACTTTCTCAAAAATACATTGGGCATTAAAAATTTCTTTCAAAAAATTTTCAGACTTTAAGACTCTATTTAGTATGTGCTTAATTTACTTATAGCAATAGCAATGCTAAGGTCTACAGTGACAGTCAAAAATTTTTTATTAATGCATCATATAAAGGTTTTCTTTAAAAGCTCATTTAATCTGCTATAGTCTAAATAAGTTCACTATATGACTCATTCTTCTTCTGAATTTTGACATTTCATATTCAAATTGAGTTTAGGTATTTTCTTGAATCAATATTGTTATGACATGCCAAATAAAGAGGAAAATAGAAAATGGTAGTATGAGTCCTAGGTTGAATTTGTTATATGAAATAAGTTATTAAACAATGGGAAAATGCATTGAGTAGCCTGTATTTTGAAAATAAAACAGCTGCATGAACAATTTTATGAAAAAAGAAAAAGAGTAACAAAGAAAAACACGCCAAAGGCAAAACCTACTTTAATCCAAACATAAAATCTGTAGCTTTATGAAGCAGTTTTGCAAGAAATCCCATGTCTTAGCCTTTATATTTTAGGAAAATATATGGTTTTTGTCTCAATTGTTGCAGAGCAAAGCCAGTGTAATATCCTTAATCTGCCACTTTGTCTAGTTACCATAAGAGAAAACAGATATATTTACAAATATTCATTATAGCTTATATATTTTTACTTTTTTCTGAGCTCTGTATTGTGCATGTAATAGTGAAATGGTGAAGTATTTCTTATTTAAAATGATAGTCTCATTCTCTCCTCTAGACACACACACACACACACAAACACACACACACAAATTGAAAGACATTTGTAGAGTTAAGAAATATTTTCTTAAAAAAAGAAGAAAGGACAAAAAAGAAATGAATGCATTTCCACATCTTTAAAGAGCACACGTTTTTTAAAATGCTGCATATACGGCACACAAAAGGCATAAACAACATCATTAGGAGCCAGTCATACCAGCAATAGGTGCTAGGTATTTATTTTGTCTGAAGGAGTGATTTTCTGAGGTTTTTAGGAGGGTAATTAATAATGTTTCTATGCTTTATTTCTGTTATTATAATTATTATTACTTAACTCATTACGATATGACAAAGCAACAGTTATTTTCAATGTTTATGAAAAGTTTGTTTAGATTCTCTGGGACACAGTATGAAAACCAGAATACAACTTTAATAACAGATCTATGTGTGTACTGGTTTTTTGTTTTTGTTTTTGTTTTTGAGACAGAGTCTTGCTCTATTGCCCAGGCTAGAGTGCAATGGTGCAATCTCGGCTCACTTCAACCTCCACCTCCTGGGTTTTCAAGCGATTCTCCTGCTTCAGTCTCCTGAGTAGTTGAGATTACTGGTGCCGGCCACCACACCCTGCTAATTTTTGTATTTTTAGTAGAGAAGGGGTTTCACCATGTTGGTGAGGCTGGTCTTGAACTCCTGACCTCAGGTGATCCACCTGCCTTGACCTCCCAAAGTGATGGGATTACAGGTGTGAACCACCGCGCCCGACTTTCTTTACCTTTTTTAAAGCACGTCACTTTTCTAGTCTCATTATTTCTATAATGAAATTATATTTTGCTGGCAGTCTTTCTGATTAAACACTATTTCTTCCTTTATTAATCAGAATATTTTGATAGAATTTAACATTTTCTTGATAAGCTTTAATCATTGGTAGAAATTACATGTGCACTGATTTTTGCGGTCCTCAGATGGTCTCAAAATACTATATTGCCAGTTGAAAAGTCATGTAGTATGTATCTTTTTGTTCCTCTTCATGTTGTAATGTGTTGGTTACTATTAATGTCCTCTCTTCTTTCTTTCATTGTTTTTATAAGCAATTATTTTGAATAATAAAATCAAGAATAATTACAAATGTATAATGCTTTTTACATTTTACAAAGTGTTTTCTGGAACACTAAAAATATTCCTAAAGATAAACTGAAATTTTAAAAAGATCATTAGTCTTTTGACCTAACTTAATCAAGCCACATTTAGAGTACAAAGAACATTATTGGGAAGAGACACATGAAAATTTATAAGAACTCCCTCTGAATTTAGTAATTTACAGTGACACATAAGATCTCACTTGAGGAAGGCACAAGATTGAACAAGTACCAGGTACTGAATAACAAGCCATTGAACAAACCAGCAGGAAAGAACAAATGGATACTTCATTCCTCAGCTGTTGAACAAATATTTATTAACTTCCAATATTATGCATATGCCACAAAGTGATGTTCCATGCCTTGCAGCCCTGGGAGACTTATTAAATTTGGATAAGACATTAATCCTGCTCTCATGGAATTCATTGCTATTTCAAACAAATGAGAGTAAATGTGATAAAAGTTATACTGTGGGTGTGTAAAGTATATACGATGGGCAAAGAAGGGAGCCTCTGAACCTGACTAGGGCAGTTTTTTAAAACCTTCAGAAAGGAAGTAGTATTTTAATCTGTGTTAGGAGATTGGTAGGGTTTAATTATTTTAGTAATAACCAAAAAACAAGCAACAGAGAAAGGAAAATGCAAGTCGGTAACTGTGAGAACTTGAAGAATAAGACGGGACCTAAAGTTCAAGATCTTCATGTACAGATAATGCATAGCATTGATTTGAAAAGTGCGTAATTGGAGGGAGAAACACCATTTAAACATCTCCTGCAATTTTGGCAGTGTGCTGCAGTTCCAGAGTTTATGCGCCGACTCATAAACTCAATTCTCTAATCTATCAGGCAGCTAAGTCCCAGTAACAGAGAAGAAAGCATCAGGTTATAATTAGCTAATGATCCTAGCTATCAAAATCATCATAGTAACTTTTAATGTCTAGACTACATGCTAACTAACAACTGTCTTATTAAACATTCCCTTTACTCATAAAGAAAGATAATGAGCTCATTCATTAAACAGGCATTCTCAGTTCTCTTTACATTTTTTTTTTAAACCTCTCTCTCTTTACATTCTGAACAATCTTTTAAAAAAGAAGACAAATCGTGTAACTCCTCTGCTAAAAACACCCTCATCACTCCCTATAGTATTCAGAGTAAAAACTAAAGTTCTTACAATGGCCCACAAGGCCCTACACTACCTCTTTTCCATTTTACACATTTCTCCTTCGTGCCCTTTCTTGCCATTCTCAGCCGTTCACTCTTCAGCTACACAAGCCTGTGAAATATTCTTGCCTTGAGACATTTGTCTGTGATGCTCTCTTTACCTGAGAAATGCCTACAACAGCACTTTGATCTTGGCTTTAGATTCTGGCATATTTCGTCCCCTTTGTGCTATTTAATTATCTATCACTAACATTGTTCTAATTACTAGTAAGGCATTGAGAATGTGTATTAGATAAGGGTGCATTACACTACTCCTTTTCCCACCTGTTGTCCTGCTGGGCTCTCATCTATTTACTATCAGCCTGTGCCATGCAGGCTACTACAGAATATGGATGTGCCTGAGTGAGCTCAAGATAGTTTGTATATTTGATTGGGGCCAGGTGAGGGAGGATGAGTGCGTATGTTAGATTCCTTGGATTACAATGAGTAAAAATTCATCCAGGCATTTATGTTAATATGACAATTAGGAAGTACAATAGGAAAGTACATGATTGAGATTTTGACATGTTTGTTGTGATTTGAGCTTGTGGTCTAAAATGTATATCATTACTGTAACAACACAGGATTCTTGATAAAGTAGATTTCAGGGGAACCTGGAGAAAAGGCTTAAGGTAAGCATTCATGGAAAATACGGGGAACACAGAAAAGCTGGGCCTCATGAAGACCAGAAGTAACTAGAAAGCTTTCGCAGCTCTAGGAACTCATTTTACTCACCCTTCTCCATCACTCCACCTCATATTGAGAAAATATTCCTTTAAACACTAATTCACATTCTGCTAGGTCTTTTGGTTTTCTTACTGCTGCTACTGCTAACTAGATTTTCTGTATCTGCGCAAACTTGGCTTCTGATTTTTCAGAGATTCTCCTATTGATAATTTCTGAAGCTCACATGGATTCCTTAGCCTGCTGTTTTCCTGTCTGCCAGCCCATGCTCTCAACACAACTGGGGATGACTTGTTAATGCTAACATTTAAATTATCCGACAGAGAATCTCATTAGTTCCCTTAATCCCTATAGCTTGCTTTAAAACATCCGGCACCTGACAATTGAGAATTCATGAACATACTTCATTTTGACCAGGTGTTCTCTATCACTGGCACAACTTAATTTGGAGCAGAGCAATAGAGAGGGATCCCCAGCGCTGGTGCTGGAACCAGCATCATCAGCATCTCTTGAGGATTTGGTAGAAATGGAAATCTTAAGTCCTACTCCAGACCTGTGAGATCAGAAACTCTTGAGGTGAGGCCCAACAAACTCTGTTTAACAAGTCCTCACTTGTTAAAACTCACTACTTTTTTTTTTAACCTTCTTCTAATTAAGTTTCTTATTAATTAACTAATTAGAAGGAATTTAAGAAAGAACTGCACAGTGGTCTGTTTAATATAGAATAGCTCTCAGTTTCCTATTGGATATTAGTGTAATTAACCAATATAAAATATATCAAATAGAGGATTCACTTTCAAAATAAGATAAAATATACTGAAATGTTGATTTCAAGATTCCTAGGGGAATCCCAGTTGAAAGTGTAGAAGAGCTGGTTTGTTTAATTTATTTCTAACCTATCACCTTTCAAATATAATATATACAGGCACACATACATATGCGCATATATGATGTTAAAGCACCCTTACATTAATAAATACAGTTCAAATTCAACATGGATGGATAATCCAAGCTATGCGGCAGTAAGCAGCTCTAAATATTTAGAGCCAGATAGGTAGAGAAATAAAGGAAAGGTCAAGGGACATTTCAGATGTAATGAAGGTCCCAAATCAGTAGGCTTGAGTTAATCAAAAGAGAGATGGTTCTGCCTGGGACTGGCTTCATCAGGTGAAAGTGCTTAAAAGAGGGCCTGGGCTCCAGGTGAGCTCAGAAAAATCTTGCTGATTTGATGATATAAGCAGTTATATTGGAAAAGCCCAAGAGGCCAGGAACTGTGAGAAGCCTCTGGGAACTGCCAACGGCCTCTAGGACCTGCAGGCAGTTCCTTGCCAACATCTAACAAATGCTGGGGCCCTTGTCATACACCTACAAGAAATGAAGTCTGCCAATCACTTAAAAAGCTTGAAAGAGGGTTCATCCTGCCTCCAGATGAGAATGCAGTCCAGCCAATGCCTTGATTATAGCCTTCTGAGACCTTCAGCAAAGGATCGTGGTAGACAGTGCCTGGATCTGACCCACAGACAATGTGAGATAGTAAATATGTGTTGTCTTTTGATGTAGGTTTTATTTTTAAAATTTATTACGCAGTAATAAAAAAAAAAAACTGAAGCATCAGTTCCTCACTGCATATAAACATATACCTCCATTTTAAAGTGTAGACTATGTATATGTATTTCAAAATAGAAATAAAATGTTGATACTGTCTAAAGCTTTCTTTTTTTCTTTTTCTCTTTGTCCTTCGCTCCCTTCTGTTCTTTCTCTTGCATTGATGGGGTCAGGGACACCTTACAAAATAACTCTGGTGGTATTTTAAAAGCCTGTTCAGACACAAGTTGACAGAAGAAACCAATAAAAAAAAATCTCAGACTTGTGGAAACCTGTTTCCTTAAGCCTTCATAATACTTAGAAGCCCTTAGGCCAAAACAAATACTTTCTATTGCCACATAGAGACCTTTATGAAAGGTGAATACACAGCAATCAGCCTGGAATTCACACCTAATCAGTTCTGTATTAGAGGAATAAAAATAATCCCACAGTAAAGAAAAATGGGTGTAAAGGCAGAGAGTGGAAAGAAGAGTATATACATTCATTTTATACATTATGATCCTTATTTCATTCTAAGGTCTAAGGGAATAAAAATGGAGAAACTACCTTTTAAGATATCAATATTTTATATTTGTTTTATCCTTTAAGATCCTCTCACTTCAAAATCATCTTTGGAGAACAACTTCTTAAACTTGGCTCCTTTACCCTTCTAATGAGGCAGTAAGTCTCCCTGCAATTATTTTTAAGGGTTTTACTGCTAATTAGGAAAGGAAATCGACAGCCCATAAAAAAATGCATGAATAAAGTAACAAAAGTTCCAGAATCTTAAAGATGCCTTGTAAGTCCCTTCTCCTATTCTATAGTTACTCTATGTGGTCTTTTAAAGATTGGTGTCTTCTACTTACCTCCTAGGCATTCATCTAGGTCTATGCCATCTATTATTCTTTCTCACTTACATTGATCAGTTCTTCTCTCTTCTTAACTTAATTCTGTCACCCTGCAAGAATCCTACTGTGTAAATGTATGTTAGACTCCAGATCTGAACAAGGTAAAAATTGCACTTCCATCTCTTCTCTAGCTCCTGGGGACATAAATCAGGATCATCACTTTTCTTTACATATTATGTGATAAAGAGAAACTTTGTCTGGCTTGGAGACGTAGAGTGGTAAGTCTTGGTCCAGTTAAAACAGCCTCTAACTTATATGTTGGTTATCCTTAGAATTACATTTTCTTCCAGAGTTTTCAAAATTTAAGGCCTGCAGCTGCCAAATTATTTCCACTTCTACGTTCAATAGGAAAAACCCATTCAACATGTCTAAAGTTTAACTCCTTATTTATTTATTATTATTATTCTTAGTTATGTATACCAGTAACCCAGTAACTCAGTTGCCCAAGCTAGAAACCTGATATTCATCCTGGAGGTCCTGCAAATCTCTAACTCCTCTGTCTTCCCTTATTTATAACCATAGTCAATCCATCCCTGGCCCTATTCAGCCACCTCTTAAATAACTCCCAACTTTACCCTCCTCTTTCAGTCTCTACTCTCTTCCCTTCCTGAGTTCAACTTTGGCAAAATCCTATTTGACACCTTTCCCTAAAAGAATCCACAGTAATATACAGACAAAGGGCAGAATCAAGTCTTATCAATAGGAACAATTTTGTGAAGCAGTTTTTATAATGTAAATGTCAAGTATTTTATCTAAGGTACGTAAGGCTGGAGCCATAGTATTTCAATGTACACATCATTAAAACAAAATAATATGAATATTAGTTAAAATAATTCAGAATTGTAATGTTTAAGAACAAAAATAATACAGAAGCTAACATTTATTGAGCAATGGCTGTACACAACTTAAATGCATTATCTTATATAATTATTCCACTAATCATACAGCACCTTATTAAAGGCATTATAGTTGTGGTATAAAGCATGGACTTTGGAATCAGACTAAGGTTGAGTCCCAGCTTTGCTATTTAAAACCTAGCTAATCATAAACAATATTTTAATTATTTGGTTTCTCAAATTTCTTAAGTATAAAATGGGGATGATTATAATTGTACATACTTGAAATGGCGATTTTAAGATGTAGCATACACTCAGATATTTTTGTTACCTTTATTATATGGTTCTTGAAGAAGACTCATATTTAAGTAAAATGCCCAAACTTAAATGGTTGGTAAAGTAGTATAAACTGGAATAAAATATAAGTGTGCTTTGCTCTAGAATACTTCATTGTAATCCCACTGTTTTACTGCCTCTCTACTGACATAGAAATTTGCAGGTACAATCATCAAACTATTTTTCCCTTTGCAGTAAAATATATTTTTTGGATTCTTGATGTTTTGTCAAATCTTATTTTGTTATTTTAAAATTTAAGACATATTTGAGACTCTTAAGCATTACATTAACATTTTATAAAACTAAAATAAAATTTTGACCGACATTTCCTTTTATTGTTCCCACTTGGGGAAAAAAAAGTGAAAATAGTATTTATTTAGCACTTATGTCTGTTAATCCAGTCTAAAAATTAATTATTTATTGAAAAATTATTTGCAGTTAGGATATTTTTAGACACTTTCATTTTATTGTTAAAGAAATGGTCACCCCAGGATCTCTATGCTATAATGTATAGTTCTTTTCACTTTTGATAAAATATTGTGCATCTGTGACTAAAGGATAACATTTAAAGTTTAATAAGACTATTTTATAATATTTTAAGTCACAAATACATAAATAGCATCTGGAATTTTCATTTTCTTTGATCATTTTATTTTAAATGTTTTTATTAATTCCTATTTTGGGGGTTATTCATCACCTCAAGCATTTATCCTTTTATTATAGACAATCCAATTATATTATTTTAGTTATTATAAACTGTACAATTAAACTATTTTTGACTATAGTTACCTTGTTGTGCTAGAAACTGCTAGGTCTTATTCATTCTTTCTAAATATTTTTTGTACCCATTAACCATCCCCCAATTCCCCCCCCCTCCTCCCCACTACCCTTGCCAGCCTCTGGTAACCATTCTTCTATGCTCTATCTCCATGAGGTAAATTGTTTTAATTTTTAGCTCCCACAGATAAGTGAGAACATATGGTACTAATGTTTCTGTGCCTGGCTTATTTCACTCAATATAATGATCTCCAGTTCCATCCATGTTGTTGCAAATGACTGGATCTCATTCTTTTTTATGGCTGAATAATACTCCATTGTGTATATGTACCATATTTTCTTTTTCTTTTCATCTGTGGATAGACATAGGTTGCTTCCAAGTGTTGGCTATAGTGAATGGTGCTGCAATAAACACGGGAGCACAGATATCTTATATGTGGTTGGTGGGAGTGTAAATTAGGGCAACTGCTATGCAGAACAGTTTGGAGGTTCCTCAAAAAATCAAAAATAGAGCTACTGTATGATCCAGCACTCCCACTCCTGGGTATTTACTGAAAAAAAAGGAAAGCAGTATTAATTCCTATTATTTGAAGCCATAATTAAACATAATTAGGAATTATGCTGCTGTTTCTGAAACATTTTCATGTTTGTATGAAATATATAAGCTAACTATCTAGTCCAAGGGCATGGATGAAAATGTAAATGACACATGGTATAGGCATGAGGCAGATTTACTTGGGAATCTTACAGGCAGGAGATCGGAGGAACGTATGTAGTTACTTACATTCTCATCATCTCACAGTGCTATGCACAAGACTCAGGCATGTGGCAGTACTCCAACAGAGACACTCTCTATTTCCTGCCACTTTGCCTTTTGTACATTTCCAGGGAAGTTGGTAGAGGACAAGTGAAAACCCAAACCATCTTGTAATAAAGGAATCTTTCATTACTAGGGAGTGGCTCTTTATGTTTCCATGTTCTTTGTTCAGAGTTGTATTTTCAGAAATTAACATCTATATTTTCAGTTTTTTATCTAGAAAAATAATTTACATGCATAGTTTAATAAAAAACATAAAAGATATAATTAATTGATAAATTTTCTTAGTTGAAAACAGCAAAATCCACAACAGCTGGTTTAAGCAACCTTGTAACACTATTAAAGGTAGTGTTATCAGTGAAACTGATACTCCTATCAGTTTCTGACTTCTGGGCAATATCCTCTTTTTCCAGGTAGCTGTGATTCTCTGTTTTTGCCTGTATTTCTAGTTTTTGGTGCAGCAGTTTGGGCTTATTCTCTGACAGATCTAGGGAGAATCGCTGATTTTCAGTTTTTTCATTTTGTACAGTTTGTACAGTTTAGAGCCAGTTTCATGGCTCCAAAAGCCATGAAGCCAGAAACATTACCTAATCACCCTGCAGGGAATAATGTGCAGAAACCTCTGGCCAAGGAAGGTAAGGAAAAAAATATTTGGAAGAAGGACACTTAGTGACTTAAAACCCAGACAAAGAAGTAACACACTTTACGTCTACTCACTTTCTACTGAGTACATGAGGTGCTTATCCTCATGTTACTTCAAGGAAAGCTGAGAGACAGATTCTCACTGGGAAGTGATATACCATTACTATGAGAAAAGAGAATAGTGGATTTGGTGACTAGATAGTATTCTCCACCATAAACTTTATTTTTTTTCCCAACTCCAAATATTCTTGATCTCAGTAGAACCTAAAATTTGTTAATCTTACAAATTGTTACTTTTTAAATTTTTATAGGTACACAGTAGGTGTATACATTTATGGATTACATAAGATATTTTGTTACATGCGTACAATTTGTAATAATCACATCACAGTAAATAGGTATCCATCCCCCCAAGTACTTAAAATTTACTCTTTGAGTTGTTTTAAAGTATACAATGAAATTATTTTGTACTATAGTCACCCTGTAAGCCTTAAATTCATTAAGCTGTTTTCCAGTTTGATAATTAACTTCATAGTTTTGTGTAAAGTCACCCTGTAAGCCTTAAATTCATTAAGCTGTTTTCCAGTTTGATAATTAACTTCATAGTTTTGTGTAATACATTTATATTTTTATCTATTTGGTTATCTAATTTAGATAATGTATAGTGCATTCTTACAATAATACAAATATATATCTCAATACACTCTATTCATAATCTAATACTCTAATACTTTTATAAAATTATATTTAATTGAATAAACATCATTGTGACTATGTAAACCCTTTTATGCAGGGCTGATAATTCAAAACAGCTCTACAAAAGATACAGTTTCACATTGTATCTTATTTTTGAAACTTGTTTATTTGGACAGCTGAGAGCTTTACTGTTACTTAAATGCAATTCTCATATTGTATTAAGTTTTCATGAATTCTTTCTCATATTGAAATAGTGCTTCTCTGAAAGTGTTTTCAGACTTCTCCTGTGATATACCACCTGTGGTTGCCCAAGGGTACGTTTATTTTTCCTGGCATTTAAATGATATTTTCCCTGGCATTAAAATTATATGTTCTAAGTTATTGTCCTCAACACTTTTTCATTATATCTTTGCTATATTCCTGCATTTAGAATTGCTCCTGAAAAAAAATGTGACATTGATATAATTTTTGTTTCTTTGAAAGTTTTTGCATTTTTGTTGAGCTGATCTTTATCAATGTTCTTAAACTGCATTTAACTGGGATAAGGGATTTTGTCTAGGGAGACTCTGTGGTTGTATGAAGTTGTTTTGTCTGTCACTCCATGGAACATTTCAAAATAAAATATTTTATATATTAAAATAGAACATTCTCTATTATTAATCCAAAATATAACTACTATATTTACATATTTTTTCATCTGAGCCTCCAATAGAAAAAGATGTAATCAGGCTTATAGTTTTCGGTGTGACATGTAAGGATGTGAAGTGCTTACTCCTGTCCACACAACAACAAAAAAAATAGCAGAACAAACTGAACGTCAATAAGTCTTTTTAGATCCATTAAATAATTAATGTCAAAGGAAAACCTGCTGCCTAGAAAACTGAAGAGACAGGCAGGAAAACTTAAACTATGACGGGCAAATTGCTGGATGTTCTGTATTTGGATAATCCTGAAAGTTAAAAATTCCAGTGATGAGTTGAGTCTTAGAGGGCTCCCCACACTTTCAAGTGTTTTACCTCTAAGAGAACTACTGGGCTTTAAAGGTAAAGACTGAAGAAAATTTATTTCTTCTGGCAGGCAGAGAAAAAAAAACAACCATTTCAAATACACCCAGAAAGCATTCTGTTCTTGTTTAGAGGGCCTGTTCTCAAGGGAAGCTATTTTACCAGACCCCAACAGACTATGGCTCCAATACAGTATAGGAGACCCAAGGGAAGAGAAATATCTAAAATTAGTCCCTCTAGACTTTCCATGTGTGAAAAGAGAAAACACCCAGCCTCAGACCCCTTAAACCTTCTGGTTTGCTTAAGGGAGTAAATACCAACCAACCAACCAAACAAAAATACTGGGAAACATTTGTGATGGCCACACACAGCCCAAAACACAGGCTTAGTAAAGGGGGTGAGAACTAACTAAAGGACTATGTAACATGTCCTCTCTTCTTCTAGACTTTACCGCCACATTTGTAGGGCTCCTATGTAATAACAGGAGAATAAAATTAAAGGAACAATATGTTTCACACCTTAAGAAATCTCTAGGGAAAACTGAAGCCAACAGGACAGCCAAACAAATGAATAACCTTAAAGAAAAATTTAGCCTCTGTCACTATAATTACACTAAACAGTAAACACAGTCTAACTTTTAGCCAGATAAATATAAAATCTTCCAAAAAAAGCCTATTTGTCTTAGTTACTGTTTCCTATCTATGTCCACTTTTCAACACAAAATTATAAGGCATACTAAAAGCAAAACAAACAAACAAAAAGCAGTTTGAAGAGACAGCTCAAGCTTCAGAACCATACTCGGATATGGGAAAGATTTGAAAAAGATCAGAGTATGAATTTACAACCACTAAGATAGATTTTCTAACAACTCTAATGTAAGAAGTAGGCAATATGCAAGAACAGATAAGTAATGTAAGATGGGAAATGTATTAAAAAATGAATGAATTTTTTAAATGCTAGGAAATGAAAATTGCAATAAAAAAAGTTGAAATAACCTTGTATACTTGGAATAAATGTGGCATGGACATGGTGTATAATTATTCTAAATTTTTATGAGAATTTTTGCATCTTTGTGTTTTGGTCTGTAATTTTTCTTTCTTATATTTTTCTGGCTTTGGTGTTATAATAATGTTTGGTTCGTAGAATGAGTTGGGCTGGAAGTTAGGCTATGTTTGCTGTTTGCTGTAGCTGTATATGTCAGAACCTGCAATTTTGTATTGAGTTCTATTTTTGTCTTCTTTGTTGTCTTGTATTTCCCTAGAAACTCCTTCTTAAACAATGTCTGAAACATTCAGCTCTTTCAGCTGTAATTTCTGTTGTTGTATCTAACCCTGATTTAAATGGCAGGATGGTGCGGGGTGACCCAAGTGTTCTATAACCTCATAATTAGGTTTCAGTCTTCAGTGAGTCAGTGCTTGTGAGCTGTGACCTTTATGAGTGCTTCTCACCTTCACTATCACTGACACTTCTTATGTGAAAAAACTGGAATTAGATACTTTCCTTCCCCAGGTTACTTAGGCTCTGGTAAAACTTAAATTTGTTAGGCACTAATAAGATAGTTTTCCTTGGGTGCACACTTTTGTTAAGGGAAGAGCATGCTAGAACAATATTTTTAAATGGTTAATTCACCCTTCGCCTGTGATAAGCAGGAGAAGATTTTTTCCAATATCACTCTGAAAATCTGGTGGGCCTCCTGCGGGTAAAAATCATAAAGGTTTAGGTGTACCCTTTGAGACAGGGTTGAACAATTTTTTAACTCTCAATGTAGCCCATGCTTAGCCCTCAGCAATCGACCAATTATCCTTTAATTATTCCTATCAGTTTCTGACTTTTGGGCAATATCCTCTTTTCCCAGATAGCTGTGATTCTCTGTTTTTGCCTATATTTCTAGTTTTTGGTGCAGCAGTTTGGGCTCATTCTGACAGATCTAGGGAGAATTGCTGATTTTCAGTTTGTACAGCTTTTTTCTTGTTATAAGGACTGAAGTGACAACTTCCAAGCTCTTGACATGTTGTACTAGAAACAGGAAGTCTGTTGTTTTTATTTATGGTTGAGTTTCTCATGTCAGCCATAATTTAGCCAGGCGAATATTGCACTCACTGTATTTCCCCATGGGTACAATATTCTCCTGGAGTTACTAACCATCTTATCTTGAGATTTATCTTAAGGAGAGATATTATACTACCATGCATGAAATTTAATGTGTCCAGATGGTATGAAGAGAGGGCCATGAGAAAGATAATTTGACATTATAGTCTTATATTTTATGTAAAACAAGGTGTTGAAGAACTATCGACTTCAACTCTAAAAATCTAGTCCTCTGAATAAAGGGAGAGGGTGTTAAGGGAAAGAACAAATGAGCTCATCGATATTCTGTATTATGTAGTAAAAACATTAGCTTTTCCTGCAGGATGCTGGAGCCATCTAATGTAATTCAGCCAAACTTGTTACCATTTTTTTTCTGCTTTATACATATGTAACTAACCTGCATGTTGTGCACATGTACCCTAAAACTTAAAGTATAAAAAAAAGCACTGACTTAGGGGTCCATTTTCCAAGAAAGAAGCACATTTAATCATATCTTCTTTATTTTAAATTCCATGTATCATAACCACCTTCCTTCTCATGTAGGCTGGTATTTTTCTAACAGTCTTACGATCAAGGTCTTAGGTCTTCTCCTTGGGATTTCTGTGTTTGCAAGTCCGATTTACTTACTTCTTGATGTTCTGTCATCATATCAGTTAGGATCTTGAAAGGGAATTAGTAATGTTTAATAATTTGCAACTTGTCAAGAGAAAATTGTATTTATTTATTTGCTGTTTAATTGAGTCAGATATATTTTCAAGGTCCTAACAGTTTTCATTTTAAGGTATATTGTACTATATTCTGGAGCATATCTTTCCAAACCATCCTGAGAATTTGGGGATGAGAAATGTGTTTTCTGAATCATTACAAATCCAAAAATATATTTATCATATTCTCAAACTTAATAAATACTGTTTTTTCCTCAGAAAATGTCAAAGTCATAATTTTTTTCTAAAAATCTACTGATGCTTCTGAGAAATGCTATTTTCATCTTCGCTAATTTGTTTGTGACCAAAATGTAGTTTTTTGGGTATTTTTTTCAAATTTTTCCACCTGCATAATTTTAAGATTCTCCTTACATCTCCAGTGTTCTGTTTTCTGATGATGAAAACAGATTTTTAAAAATATTTATTACAATTTTCATTACAAAAACATTTTCAATTCGAAAACTTGAGGCCTTCAGTTATTGGAATTTTTCTTGCATTTTTTTCTTTCATCATCTCTAAACATTTTCTAAAGATATTTTACCTCATTGATATGGTGTGGCTCTGTGTCCTTTACCAAATATCATCTTCAATTGTAAACCCCACATGTTAGGGAGGAAACTGCTGGGAGGTGATTGGGTCGTGGGGGCAGTTTCCCCCATGCTCTTCTCATAATAGTGAGTTCTCACAAGATCTGATGGTTTAAAGGTGTGGCATTCCCCCCATCTCTCTCTCTCTCTCTCTCTCTTTCTCTCTCTCTCCTGCCACCATGTAAAGATGCACCTTGCTTCCCTTTCACCTTTCACCATGATTGTAAGTTTCCTGAGGCTTCCCCAGCCATGAGGAACTGTGAGTCAATTAAACCTTTTTCCTTCATAAATTACCCAGGCTCAGGTAGTTCTTTATAGCAGTGTGAAAACGGACTAATGCTCTCATAAATAGATACTCTACATCTTTCATTTTAAATTTATAGGAAAACTTAGGATATATTGCAGATTCAGTTCCAGACCACCACAATTAAGAAAATATTGCAATAAATCTAGTCACACAGATGTTATTGTTATATGGTGTGTATGAAAGTAATGTTTACACTACATTGTAGTCATTAAGTATGCAATAGCATTATGTCTAAAAATGTACATACTTCAATTTAAAATACTTTATTGCTAAAAAAAATCTGATTATTATCAAAGCCTTCAAGGAGTTTTAATCATTCTGCTGTTGGAGTGTCGTACCTTAGTGTTGATGGCTGCTGACCGATCAGGGTGGTAGTTGCTGAAAGCGGAGGTAGCTGCAGCAATTTCTTAAAGTAAGACAACAATAAAGTTTGCTTCATTGATCGGTTCTTCCTTTCGTGAATGATTACTCTGTAGTATGTGATGCTGTTTGATAGCATTTTACCCACTGTAGAACTTCTTTCAAAATTGGAACCAATCCTCTGAAAACCCTGCTCTTGCTTTATCAGCTAAGTTTATGTAATATTCTCAATCCTTTTTTTGTCATTTCAACAATTTTCATGACATCTTCACCAGGAATATTTTTCATCTCAAGAACCCATTATCTTCAATCATCCATAAGAAGAAACTCATCTGTTAAAATCTTATGTTGACATTGTAGCAATTCCATTGCATCTTTAGGCTGTGCCTCAAATTCTAGTTTTCTTGCTATTCCCACCATATATGCAATTTTCTCCATTAAAGTCTTGAATGCCTCCAAATCATCCATGAGTGTTGGGATCAGCTTCTTCCAAATTCCTGTTAAATATGTGGATATTTTGATCTTCTCCCATTAATCATGAATGTATTTAATGGTATCTAGAATGGTGAATTCTATCCAGAAGGATTTTAATTTACATTGCCCAGATTATTCAGAGAAATTACAATCTGTGGCAGCTATAGCCTTACAAAATTTATTTCTTTATATACATATACATATATACACACATATATATGTCTTCTTACTAAATATATATCTTAACTAATAAGACTTGAATGTCAAAATGACTCCTAATCAATGGGCTGCCGAAAGGATGTTGTGTTAGCAGCATAAAAAACAACAGTAATCTTTTGATACAGCTCCATTAGAGCTCTTAAATGACCAGGTGTGCTGTCAATTAGCAGTAATAGTTTGAAAGAAATTATTTTTTTTCTGAGCAGTAGGTCTCAACTGTAGGCTTAAAATATTTAGCAAGCTATGCTGTAAACAGATGTTCTGTTTTCCAGGCTTTGCCGATCCATTTATAGAGCACAGGCAGAACAAATTTAGCATAATTCTTAAAGGCCCTAGGACTTTCAGAATGTAAATGAACACTGGCTTTAACTTAAAGTCACCAGCTGCATTAGCCCCAACAGAAGAGTTAACCTGTCCTTTGAAGCTTTGGAGCCAGGCATTGATTTTTCCTCTGTAGCTATGAAATCTTACATGGCATCTTCTTCCAAGAGAAAGCTGTTTCATCTACATGAAAAATCTATTGTTTACTGTAACCACCTTCATCAATTATCCTAGGTATATCATCTGGATAAATTGCTGCAGCTTCTGCATCAGCACTTTACATTTTTATGTTATGGAGATGGCTTCTTTTCTTAGTCCTCCAGAAACAACCTCTGCTATCTTCAAACTTTTCTTCTGCAGCTTCCTCACTTCTATCAGCCTTCATGAAATTGAAGAGAGTAAAGGCTTTTCTCTGGATTAGCCTTTGGCTTAGAGGAATGTTGCAACTGATTTGATCTTCCATCCAGACTATCCTAATGTTCTCCACATCAGCAATAATGTTATTTTGTTTTCTTATTCTAGTGTTCCCTGGGGTAGCACTTTTAATTTTCTTCAAGAACTTTTTCTTTGCATTCACAACCTGGCTTATTGTATGGCACAAGAGGCCTAGTTTTCAGCCTATCTTGGCTTTCAACATGCCTCCTCACTGAGCTTAATCATTTTTCATTTTTGATTCAATATGAGAGACTTGTGACTCCACTTGAATACTTAGAAGCCATTATAAGTTTATTAATTTGCCTAATCTTATTATTGTGTGTCTTAGAGAATAGTGAGGCCTGAGGAAAGGAAGAGAAATGGGAGAAGGGCCAGTCGATGGAGTAGTCAGAGCAAACATATTTATTCATTAGGTTCGCTGTCTTATATTGGCACAGTTTGTGGCACCCTAAAACAATTACAGTAGTAATATCAAAAATTATTGATCACAGATCACTATAACAGATATGATAATAATAATAAAAAGGTTTGAAATAGTGCAAGAATTACCAATATGTGACAGACACAAAGTCAGCACATGCTATTGGAAAAAAATGGCACTAGGCTAAACTTGCTCAGCAGAGGGTTGTTGCAATCCTTCAATTTGTAAAAAACACAGTACCTGCAAAGCACAATAAAGCAAACCGCAGTAAAACAAGGTATGCCTGTATTTCATTTATGTCACTTCTTACTGTTTTGTTTTATTGTCATAAAGTATTTCTCAATTTTACCTTAAATAATGTTTTTGAATTATTTTATTTTTATTTTTTAACTCCAAAAATATGTTGTTTTTCTCTTATTGATCTTGCCCTTGTTTTTATTGGTTGCAGTATGTCTCAAATCCTAATTTATTAACTAAAGCTCCTTAAAACCATTTTTGTAATCCCTTTTTCTAGGGGAAATTTTGAAGATAACAATTACAGAAACACTTTATAGTTTTTCTAAACCATCTGGTCTGAAGACCACAATTTATATTTACCATATTCTTCCTCTACCATCCTAAGACTGCTCAGCCTCAGCTGGTTCCTTTGCGGGCATGGGTGATTTACTTGATGGAGTCACTCAAATCCTCATAGCTGAATGGTGTTATCCTCCCCACACCATTCCCATCTCAGGCCTTGCTACCAGTTGTCAATTTACCAATAAAATTGAAATGAAGAGCATAAGACACACTATATGGATCTTTTGGATGCTATACATATTCCTTTATCCCATTGGGTCACAGAAAGCCTACCATATCCTAATAATCAGAATTCTCCCTGACTGGATAGTGACTTCTCTACTGACTGCTGGTCTTTTGGGACAAGTAGCTTAAAATGAATGGGCAGGGAGCAGTCTTAATCTGAGGATTAGTGAATCTCTTAAAAAGCCACTTGTTAGAATAATTTTCCTTCTAGGAACTAAAATTTCTAAACCTAGAGCACAAAAATTGCAAGTTTTTGAAAGTATGTATTCACTGGGTCACTGAGGGCAAATATCATAAGTTGGTTTTCACAGAAATAAACTCAGATTTGCATGCATGAAATGTACTGGAAAATGCTCTTGGCATCAGTGACTCTGGGAAACTCAAGAAAACAGAATTCAGCAGAGGGAGAATTAGATTGTGATACAGTAACTGCTGAGACTTCTAAAGTTGTATGAAATAAAGGTGCACTATAGTGGACTATGTCATGAGTTGCCTATGGTTGGCCTGCAGAACCCAAGTCCTCAGTTTTCTATCTAACAGAGAATACTGGCAGCTAACAGCTCTCAGTTAATTCCTCTCCATGACCTCAGCTAAAGAGTCACCTCAAGAAAGTCACCCATCTCTTCCTAGGACATTCCCCAACTGAACACTGCTGAATAGGTTGGCGTAAAGTCCAACTGTAAAGGATTAAGATCCAGAATCACCAGAGAATTAGCTCAGACCTTCATTGAACCTGAACTTCAGTTCAACATTTTCTCTGCTCACCTCTGTTTCTTTCTCATCCTCATGTATTGATCCTGAGAGCACTCTTCAATACATTCCATTTACCTCAATCTCCGTGTCAGATTCAGCTTCCCAGGGAAACCCCTGTGCCATTAAGATCTACTTGTCACAATTATCCAAACATATTTCATTAAGCAAATAGATTTGGATGTGAAAGCAACCTGTAATAATAATGCTATTTTTTCTGAGGACTTTCATTTTTGGGGGGATGAGACTAATAGGCCCCCACTGATTTTATCTATAGATATTAAAATCCCTGTTCTCAGTCTGCACATTGGATGGGGAAACAAGATCAGTACTCTAGTTGTCTCGCATGCAGATTTCCAACCCATCCTCTTATTTTTTTCTGCTTCACCTCTTACCCCGTACACTCTTCTGTTGTATTCCAGATTTCCTTGTCTCTCCTGGGGGAAAAAATGTTTCCGGAATGTAAGTCTCTGATATCCAATCAGATGCTCTGTTTCCCAACATTTTCTGTCTGGAAACTGAGGAATGGTAACACCTGTGCCTATGAATAAATTTTTAAAATAATTTTGACTGGCATCCTATCCTGAAGATGGTGCTTTTAAGTTCTTAGTCTCTGGGTAGCTCAACAGAGCTAAGTGGTTTTCTTTTTCACTTCTTGCCTCTCTGTGGCCTACAGTCTTTGACTATCTATTCAGATAAAACTGTAATATAAATCCTACATAAAATAAACTATGTAAATGCTATAAATTCTAACTTTAAAAGTCTATATAATGTCTGTATCTAGCAAGTAATCCATGGAGTAATATATGTATGTGGAAATGAGTTTGAATATAGGACGTAAATTTTTAACAAGGCTTTTGAAAATAGAGTAGAAACGAGTAGAAGCTGAGTGCAGCAAAAAATGCTTTTATGGACAAGTGTTGCAATTATTAAGTATCACAATAAAGTATAACATATAATGAAAATTAAATAAATTAAATTCTAAACAATTTGATGTCTTAGTGACTTTGCTTCTACTTAGTTATGTTCACTATCTAGATTTTTTTCTTTCAATTTAAAATTAACAATGACTCTTTTCACATATTTGAGATTCCTCTTAAGTACATGATCCTAGGAAACGTCTATGCAGTTTTTTCGAAGACCAACTTATAGAAATTCTTTAGCCAGCATTTAAGTAATGAATGAGATTGCTTATATCTATCCATAGGAACTTAGTTTCAGTTATACAAAGACAGTGTCTCATATAAAGTTTAAAGACCAAACTAGATGAGTTTTAACTACTTTTGGTACTGCAATCTTGAGTTCTGCTTAGAAAATATGTTTATAATTTTATATTTACATAAAATAATAGTTCTCATTCTATGTTTATATAATCCAAAAATTTCAGCTTATACTTACAATTTTTCTAGCACAATTTGCTGAGATCCCCAAAAAATTTACTTTTAAAACCCCTTGGGTGTCAACTTACTTTTAAAAGGTTCTCTATTTATATAATCATTACCTAAGAATTTATCTCTTAAGGAAATTCTGTGCGTGTATGTGTGTGTGTGTGTGTTGACCATGTTAAGTACCATTTGAATATGAGAGAAAATGATAGATATTAAATCCGATTTTCCTTAAAGATTTACGCTGACTTATAAAGTACAGATATCACACCATTTAATAGGCAGCAAAATAATTGAACCAATTGCTGACATTATTTTTAGATTCAATGTTGGTTGGTCATATCACAAACCATATCAATTATCAAAAAAAGAAAAAACAGTAAATTTGCTCTTAAAAACTCATATGTTAGCTTTTCATACGTAATCTGGAGGAAGTACTCAATATGCTTTCATTAAACACAAAATATTTTATTCAAACATTTTCTGTGTTATTGGATGCCTTTATCACAAATTCTTCTCATACAGTATCTGTAGAGACTAAAAGAAATATAAACTATGACAATTCTCCCAAACATATAAGGTTGAATAATAATGCTGTTTTATTGAAGTTAAGTTTCAAGTATAAATATTCCAAAGAGTCAAAAGTTATAAAGTGGGAAACATGCTGAACGTCTTTCTTTTAATATTTTATTTTTCAGCTGTGTCTGAATATGTTAGGCATTGAGAAAATTTTTCCCGACACTTGTTTTGAAGTATTCTTTTCTAACAATTTTCTCTAATATCCTCTTCCCATGAAGTCAGAGAGTCTAGTCAATATTTTATAGTTTCATGATCTGCTTTTCAAATGTAGGGTTTTGTTTTTAAAGAAAACTTAATCTAACCTTAATCCTTTTTCAATAGTAAAGTAGTACATGTTGACTCCTCATCCTATTTTTAGGGAAACTCAACCCTGCATCATTTGCTTTGTAGGGAATAACTAACAATGTTGAAAGTCAAATGAAAATCTACAAACTTTTATTGTTTATTATTCTTTTTTTTTAATTTTTAAGATTGGATCTTGCTCTGTCCCTCAGACTGGAGTGGAGTGACACAATCATGGCTCACTGCCCTTAACTTCCTAGGCTCAAGCTCTCCTTCCACTTCAGCCACTCAAATAGCTGGGACTACAGGTGTGCACCACCACACCCAGCTTTTTAAAATCATGTGTAGATACAGGCTGTCACTATGTTGACCAGGTTGGTCTCAAACTCCTGGCCTCAAACAATCCTTGGCCTCCCAAAGTGCTGGAATTACAAGTATGAGCCACCATGCCTGGCCCTGTTTATTATTCTTTATATGCATCTTAGTCCATTTTTGTGCCTCTATAACAGAGGAAATGAGTCTGGCTAATTTATAAGGAAGAGAAATTTATATCTTACAGTTCTGAAGGCTGAGAAGTCCAAGGTCAAGGAGTCTGCATCTGGTGAGGACGTTTTTGCTAAGTTATCCTGCAGCAAAAGGCAAAAGGGCAAGGGAGCAGACATGAAGAAGGTGAAGAGAATGGAGGGGAAGAGGGAACCAAACTCATTTTTTAAATGAAGGACCCACTGTTATAATAAATAGCCCACTCCTGTGATAACAGTATTAATCCAGTCATGAGAGGAGAGCCCTCATGACCTAATCATGTCTTAAAGCTTCTACCTTTCAACACTGTGGCACTGGGGATTAAATTTTCAGTACATGAACTTTAAGAGACACATTCAAGTCACAGCAATAAGTTAAATAATATAAAATTAGTTTGCAAATATCTATTCTTTAATATATTTTATTTATTTATTATAACAATAAAGTGGCAAAGATAGTCAAGCAACCATACTCATATGTAGATTTTACAAAAGACACTCTCACTTTTTTCCTCACCCAATTATCAAAAGATCTGTGTGAATATATTTAAATTTATAATTATTCAACAAATACAAAATACACATATGTGAGATCTTCCACAATGAGATATCACATTGCTAGTAGAACAAAAAACTCTATATCCCACCCATCCCATCAACATTTCAAGGCCAAACACGTCCATTGAGATTATTTACCCTACCAAATTAAAATAATTGAAAAAACCTTAAGAATTACTAAAAAATAGATAAGTGTTTTAAAATGATGACTAGAAAATTTAATCATAGATTAATCAACTGCAGTATTATCAACAGAAAATTGTTCTTTATTTCAGATGTTCTAGTCTGAATATCAATTGGAATATTTTATTTTTCTTCATTTCTGTCCTCTGAGCAGAGGACATGAAGATCCTTAATCAACCCTGCACTAAAATAACTAACTCTAAGGCTATGTAATTTAGAAGGAGGAAGTAGAAATGTGGAGTCAGGATGAAATAGGCAAAAAAAAAAAAAAACACAAAAAATCAGAAAAAAACAATGAGTCAAAATTGAAAAAGCAGAACAGAAATAGAGACACTCCACAAAGGAAGATGGAGTTGATAAATACTTTATGGGAAAATGTAAAGAATTGATCTGCATTATTTCCTCGATGTTTTGTGTAGATGATTACCTAAAATTTAGATGTTATTTCTGATAATAAATGTCCCTTACCAATATTACGAAGATTCAAAGTATAGCCAATGAGTTAATTCTCTGACATGTCAATATTTAATATGTCCTTTCTCAAATTTGTACACTCCAATGATTTGTTTTCCAAGTGTTTTCTAATGGAATTTTAAGTTACCCAGAACATGCAAAAATCTCAACAACTTTAAAGTGCAGTGTCTAAACTTTTCATTATGTTGAATGTTTTATAAGTTGTTCTAAAGTCTAAATGATTCAACTAATGGCTAAGTTAGATGTAGAGTTTATGTTGCTTTGTCAGTTGGAGGCTGTGCTGGTCTGACACTCTTCCTCTACAGCTAGGGTGTGCTTCCAGTAGATGGCTTCTACAATCATTATCCTTGCTCTGATAGAGCGGGCATATAAATCAAGTCTTTCTGTCTGTTTTTCTTTTACGTTGTGCTTTTAATTCATTGTGATAGATTTTGTCTTTCAAGTCATGCCAGACCTACTGGGATTGATGTGCTTTTCATCTGTCACTCTCTTCACACTGTTTGATTAAATTGGTTCTCCTACTTGCAGGGAGACAGGCTAAAAAGCCTAAGAGGCCATTTCCAACTCAAATGTGTAATTCCACATTTTTCTATCTGAATTCTAGTCATTAGTTTGAATTTGGATACAAAAGAATTGGTATAATCTGTAAATTTGTCCTCTAACACCCTTTGAGGACAATAATTTTAAATAAAATACCACAGTTCATATTCATAATAGTTTTTCTGAGGTTATGAACAATGCAATTTTTGAGAACAGAGTCAGTATTTATTTATTATCCTTTTGAGTAAGATCAGATGCTATATTAAAAATTAAGTAAATATAAACATACTTCAATAAGAGAAGTTATAAAGAAAAGTCATATAATTTTTCCACTCATGTGTAACTAAATTATATTGAATTGATGTAAAAATATGACATTAATATCATATTTTCAGTTAAGCTTGTGAAAATACACTAAAAACTAGAGTTCTGATTCTGCTACTTAGAACTAAACCAAACTCTGACTTTTTGTTGTTTACTTATTAATCTGTAAAATGAAAGATGTAATTTAATAAGCTCCAAAGTTATTCTTAGCTCTTCAAAATCTGTTTTTAACTCTTCAAAATCTATTTCAATTTATTGTATGTCTGGGTGTATCTACATATCCCCTCCCCTGGATATGAAATTCATTGAAGATGAAATTATTAGTTACTTTTATGAAATACTCTTTCAAAAATTAACCTTACTGTTTACAAAAATTTGGTTCAAATCCTAATTCACATTCTTGCTAAGTATGTGATCTTGAAACTGTGTGTGTGTATTTTATATATGTATGTATATATTTGTTAACATATATATTTGTATGTATGTATATACAAGTGATTTTTTCATATAGAGTTGATACATTGCTTAGCGTAGTAGAATGTAGTATACATGTATGTAGTATGTGCAGTGTGGTAATATGTGTAACATGTGGGAGATAGTAAACATCCAGGAAATTTTAGCAGCTGGAGATTGTAGTTTCATTAAAAATCAAAGTTCAATGATATGTCATCTACAAACAACTTTTTAATACACCAAATACTTCTTGGAACTTACTACTATGCTATTCCCATCTTTATCTACAGCACCTGTTTCATCTAGCATAGTTTTTTCTTAGTGACAACACAATATATTGCCAGTTATCACACTGGAAGTTTATTCTGCTGGGAAAAAAATACTTTATACCTCATTTCAGTTTGGGTTGAGTTATTTGAAATATAGATAATATAATGTTTTATATTGGTCTCAATTTAGTGAGAGAGACTTTCTGGAGAATACTTGGGGTATATAATATGTGACTCATTTTCTATCAGGGACAGAAATGGCTGGTTTCTGATTCCTACCTTATATAACTTAAAGCTTAAGAGATATGCAGCTTAACTGCTTTAATGATAACAGTAAAGGTAAACGTGCTGGCATATAACCACGAATTATATTTCCACTGTCGACATTTTTTGGTGTAAAGTATCCATGCATATTTCCAGTGAATCAGATAATAACATTCACAGAGACCTGGCATTTCTTAACTGGTTTTCTTAGTCTGTAGGTCTTAGTACAGATAAATTGGATCCCTAGGAGTTTTAGGAGGAATCAATCATTGGGGAGGAATCAATCATCAGCCAGAATATGTACAGAGCTATATCTACTAATATGCTGGTAATGTTTAAACACTAGTTCTCTGGAATAAAATAAACTAGTTGTATATAAGCATGTAAATTTATTATAAACTTTACTGATATACAGGATATATGATATGGCATATGGAATGCACCATTTTTAAATAATAAATATACAATGTTGTTTATTATAAATGCCATATAGCTCAGCAATCCTCATAAACTGCCTGAATTCATTTTGCCTAACTCTTTCCTCTCTAGCAATAGATGAATGAATAGATGAAATAGTGTAGTTCAAACATAAAGTTAATTGCTATTTTTATTTACATTAATAAGAAAGATAAAAGTAAAACAATGAAGAATATATCATAACATTAACTATTCTCCAGTGACACAAATGACTTATTTGCTACATTTTATAATACTTTTTGAATACTAGAAAACTTTTCTGTTTTTTAGATATTAAAAAGTAGTATTCATAGACCCCACACATCTTAAATTTTCATTATTATTTTATCTACCACTGTACTAAGTCTAGACAACAAAAAGCAATAAGCCCTGATTATCAGAGTTTTCTGATTTCTCTGGTGTACATACTTTCATCATGTTTGATTTTAAGCTGCCAGTTGGACATCACTGACTGCTGACTTGTGAAGGGAGATGTTGAGACATACCAGTCTGTTTTCAGCACACAGGCACAACAGCTGTGAATAACCTCAAGAGTTTGTCTAATATTAAAATATAGTAAAATAAGTAGAAAGTAATGAGATTTTGATATGTATTTTTAAATAATTAAATATTTTTTCCAAGATGGTGGGTTGGGGGCATTGTAGTATGCCTCTTTTACTTGTAAAGATAAAATAGTGTGTAGAGCTTCATGCTGTGAACTTTTTTCCAAGAAGCAACATGGGAACTTAACAGAAAAACTGCAATAAACCACAGACGCTTTAAAAGAAGGAGCAGCCTAAACTGTGAAACACAAGGAAAACTCCCCACAAGAGACTGTGAACTTACTCACACGTCCAGCACATTGCTATTACAACCAGCCTCTGAGAAAGCCATCACACAAATGTTCTCTATAACTAGAAAACTCAAACAGAGTCTTTGCTGCTGAAAGGACCAAGAGCCAAAACTAGTTAACAATAAACTACAAACATGAAAGTCACATCCTCAGGAGAAAAAAAGAGAAAAAGCAAACAAACAAACAAACAAAAAAACCCCAGTTAAATAAAAAATAAATCAAAAACAAATAGGAAAAAAATAGTCTACCCAAATAAAAAGAAACCAGAAAAATAATTCTGGCAGTATGAAAAAACGAGGGTTCTATAAAACCCCCAGAATAATACAGTAACTCTCCAGTAGTGGATCCATACCAAGAAGAAATCTTTACAATACTAGATAAAGAATTCAAAAGGTTGATTAATTTAATCAGGGAGAATCACGAGAAAGGTGTAAACCAACACAAAGAAAGTTTAAAACAATTTGGAATATGAATGAAAAATTTTATAAAGAGAAATATATTTTAAAGAAAAACCAATCATAACTTCTGGAGATGAAAGCCACATTTAGGGAACTAAAAATGCAGCGGAAAATTTAAACAATAGACTAAACAAAGTAGAAGAAAGAATTTTAATGTTCTAAGATGAGGCTTTCAAATTAACCCAATAAGACAAAAATAATGAAAAAAACAATTAAAAGAAATAAACGAAGTCTTCAAGAAATATGGGATTATGTAAAACTTCCAAAGCTAAGAATCAGAGGTGTTCCTGAGTGAGAAGAAAAAGTAAAAAGTGTGGAAAACATATTTGAGAGAATAATTCAGAAAAACGTCCCTGGCCTTGCTAGAGATTTAGACATCAAAATACAAGAGCTCAAAGAACCCCTGGAAAATGTATTGCAAGAAGTACATCACAAGAGAGAGAGTCAAAAGGCTATCTAAAGTCAATGTGTAGGAAGAATTGTAAGAGCAGTATGACAAAAGCATCAGGTTACTTATAAAAGAAAACCTATCAGACTAACAGCAGACTTCTCAGCAGAAACCTTAGAAGGCAGAGGTATTGGGATCCCATCCTTAGTCTTATTAATCAGAAAACTGTCAGTCAAAAATTCTGTATCCAGCAAAACTGAGCTTCATAAATGAAGGAGAAATAAAGTCTTTCACAGATAAGCAAATGCTGAGAGAATTTATTAATACTAGGTCAGCCCTACAAGAAATGTTAAAAGAAGTTACAAATCTTGGAACAAAAGGTGGATATGCAGCAGAATAGGAACTCTTCTAAGCATAGAATTCACAGTGCTTATAAAACAATAATACAGTGAAGAAAACAAAATCACTAGGTAACAATCAACATGATGACTGGAAAAATATCTTATATCTCAATATTAACATTGAATGGAAATGGCTAAATGCTCCACTTAAAAGACACATATTGACAAAATGGATTTAAAAAAATTAGATACCAAATATCTGTTGTCTTCAGAAGATACACCTAACACATAAGGATTCTTATAGACTCAAGGTAAAGGGGTAGAAAAAGATATTTCATGCAAGTGGAAACCAAAAGTGAGCAGGAGTATCTATTCTTGTATCAGAGAAAACATACTTTATAGCAACAATGGTTAAAAAAGACAAAGAAAGTCATATATAATGATAAAAGAATCAATTCAACGAGAAGATATAAAAACTCTAAATATGTATGTACCTAACTCTGGAGCTCTGAGATTCATAAAACAATTACCACTAAACCTAAGAAAAGAGAGAGAGATGGCACAACAGTAACCTTAAGGGACTTTAGCATTCCACTGACAACACTAAACAGATAATTGAGAGGGAAAGTTGACAAAGAAACACTGAACTATAACTGAAGCCTAGAACAAATGCACCTAATATTTACAGGACATTCTAGCCAAGAATGGGAGAATATGCATTCTTCTCATCAGCACATGGAAAATCCTCCAAGGTGCACCACAATGGGCCACAAAACAAATCTCAATAATTTTTTAAAAATTGAAATTATATCAAGTATCTTTGCACACCACAGTGTTATAAAACTAAAAATCAATTTCAAAAGCAACCCTCAAAACTATACAAATACATGGAAATTAAACAATCCTCTCCTGACTGACTTTTTTGGGTTAACAGTGAAATCAAGATGGAAACTAAAAATAATTTTGAAATGAATAATAACTGTAACATAAGTTATCAAAACCTCTGAGATACAGCAAAAGCAGTGATAAGTGGACAGCTTACAGCACTAAATGCCTACACCAAAAAGTCTGAAATTAGCAATCTGATGTCACACCTCAAAGTACTAGAGAAACAAGAACAAACTAGCAGAAGAAAACAAACAACAAAGATCAGAGGAAAGCTGAATGAAATTGAAACAGAAAAAAAGAAGACATCAATGAAACAAAAAGTTGATTATTTGAAAAGATAAATAGAATTGATCCAGCACTAGATAGTTTAACGAAGAAGAGAGAGGATTCATATAAGCTCAATTAGAAATGAAAATGGGGACATCACAACTGACACCACATAAATATGAAAGATCATTTGAGACTACTATAAATACCTCTGTGCACATCAACTAGAAAATCTAGAGGAAATGAATACATTTCTGGAAACATACAATCACCCTAGCTTGAATCAGGAATAAATAGAAATCCTGAACAGACCAAAACAAGCAGAAATATTGAATTCCTAATTAAAAAAAACACTGCCAACAAACAAATAGCCAAATTCTGTCAGACATTCAGAGAATTGATACAAATTCTACTGAAATTATTCCATCAGATTGAGAGAGAATGCTCCCTAGCTCATACTACAATGCCAGTATCACTCCAAAACTACAGACCAATATATCTGATGAACGTTAGATGCAGAAATCCTAAGCAAAATACCAGAAAACTAAATTCCACAACCTATCAAAAAAATAATTCATCATGATCATGCCAGTTTCATTCCAGAGATGAAAGGTTCAACATATGCACATCAATAAATGTCATTTATCAAATAAATGGAATTAAAAACCATATGATCATCTCAATAGATGCAGAAAAATCATTAGATAAAATCCAGCATCCTGTTATGATAAAAAATCCTCAACAAACTAGGCATAGATGAAACATACCTCAAAATAATAAAAGCCATGTATGACAAACCCACAGCCCACATCATACTGAAAGGGGAAAGTTAAAAGCATTCCCTCTGAGAACTGGAATGAGACAAGATGCCCACTTTCACCACTTCTATTCAACAACAACCAACACCAAGCTGAGAATCAAATCAAGAACCTCAATTCCGTTTATGACAGCTACAAAAAATAAATAAAATAAAATGCCTAGGAATATACAAGATCTCTACGAGAAATACAAAACACTGCTGAAAGAAATTATGGATGACACAAAAAAATGGAAATACGTCTCATCCCCAAGGATTGGAAGAATCAGTATCATGA
Source organism: Homo sapiens (assembly GCF_000001405.40). NCBI lineage: Eukaryota > Metazoa > Chordata > Mammalia > Primates > Hominidae > Homo > Homo sapiens. The sequence continues at coordinate 81,419,346 of NC_000013.11, read as the reverse complement.
AAATAACCATACTGTGCAAAGCCATGTACAGCTTCAATGCAATTCCTATAAAAATTCTGGGGAAACATACCATTCAGTTAATTGAAATCTTCAAATCTAAAAGTATGTTCCTAATCCAACGGGCAAGATAATGGGAATTCTTTAATTGTAAGTAATTTTATATGGATATGTTTATTTTGTGTAGAAAAATATGTGCTCAAAGTGGTTAACTGCATGTATAAAATTATATGAATTATAATAATCATGTATGTTGTATCATTATAAATATGTCAGTATAAATAATTCTAGGTATATAATAATGTGTTTTCGATGTATTTTTATGTCATATTAATATATTTTGTACTATAAACATAAACTTTCTTAATTATCACTATGCATTGAAAAGTTTTGTCAATTAAACAAAAATTTCCGTGCAACAAATTGGTATTATGACTCTGGGGTATTATAACATTTGTTACATAATTTATTTTTATAGGATAAATAATTGCAAGAAATAAAGATTATCAGTTAAATAACCATTATTCAATTAGTTTATTTGAGCTTCTAAAACTTTCAAACTCACATGAACATTAAGATTTATAAGTTGAAATAAGAAATGTGCAATAAAAACTTAAATTGATTGGAATTTAATGTGTTTACCAGTTGAGATAAATGTGTTGCTATACTTGTTGTTTGCTATTTTATGCTGAGGTTTTTGAAATATTAATATAACAAATTATGTATGAAATTCCATAAAAAAGGACATGCAGACCAACCATAATCCTCAACATTATGGTTTTCTACAGTTTAGTATACCCTTTCCCCGTATTTATTAATGAGTTATTGTCAACTCTAATTATTTAGAAATTATATTTCCTATAAAGAAAGAATCCCTGGGGCATTCGTGTAGTCCAAGTGGCCTTCACTTATGCATTATTGCTTATATAGATTAATGCAGAGACTGAATACATTTTTCATATATACAGAATTACTTTCAGAGTGTCTGCTACAGTCAGGGCCTCATGAATAAGGACCTGGTATTATTATGTTATTATAATTATTTTAAGGTTTAAATAAATAATTCACAAAAATCTATTACAATTTCTTCCTCATATCACTCTTTAATTTTTTATCTTGTTTATCTGCCTTTTGATTTGCAGTTATGTTCACATAGAGTTGTGAAATAAGAAATATTATGCTCTAGCATATCTTCTTATAATAATTTGATAATACAGCAAAAAAGCATATAAAGCTGAAACAGCCACACAGCTTGGACAACAATCTTCCTTCCTCCATTTCTGAGGTGTGTACTATTGAAGAATTTTTTCAAATGCTCCATGCTTCAATTTCCTCATCTGTAAAATTAATAGTAGTACCTTCCTCAGTTTCTACATGTGGGCTATTTACATTGACTGCTAAACACTGGGGCTCTCAATAATTGTTTGTTCCTATTATAAGATACATACCTTTTCACAGGACAGAAAAATTATTTTACTCTCTATAATATGAACAGGATTTCATTGGGGCTGAAAAAAGGAGGTTCTTCTTCCATAAATCTTAAAATGCATTTTGAATTATCTAAATGAAGTGGCAAAGACTAAGTTGTTTGGGTATTTTCCTTGGGTATATATCTTTGCTACAAAGTCTGATGCAATAGAGACGAAAAATTCTGTATCAAAACAAACTCTGGACCTTCTTGCTACAAGATATGAAGCAAATAATCTCATGTAAAAGGGCCAGTACATATAATGTACCTCTAGTTACTTATTCTCCCTAAACAATGCAGACACAAGTAATATGCTCTTAGATTAGACTGAAGAGTTAGGATTATAAAAGTATGTATAAAGGTAGGTTTTATCTACATATTTATTTTGTATTTGTGATTTTATATTTTGTAAGATGATTGGGGCAAAATATAAAAATTGTCTGTTAAAATCAAGGATAACTGAGATAATACATTAAAAATATAAAGGACATTTGAAAGAGTAATATCTTTAAGAAACCTTTTTTTCTGTAGAAGAAAGAAAAACACAAGATATTTAAAAAGCTGGAAAAGTGTCAATGGGAAATATTGAAGAAGATAATGTCCTGTAAAATGAAGGATTTCAGAACTTAATCTGAATAGTAACTCATCTAGAGCTAGGTATGGGCTCATTAAATATTAAGTAGCTATTTTCATGATTAAAAATACAAATTTACATGTTATTTGACATGTAAGACATTAATTGAAGGAACAAAGATCATTATAAAATACAATTATGGAAAATCAATTAATTTTGCACTTTTTTGCTTTTATCAATCCAGTTAATTTCAATAATTTTCAGCTAATATATGTGATAAAAGTTACATTTAAATTAGTGGCACATAGGTCAAAATTTATGTTCTATCAGAAAGCTTTTTCTTCTCTATCTTGTGATATTATGTTAAAAGAGGAAATATGAAAGTGTGATACTGGAAAAGTATATAAGTATAGATCAATAAAATTGAGAGTACAGGAGAAAGCCACCACATATATTATCAACTGATTTTCTACAAGAGTGTCAAGATTGTTCAACTGGGGAGAGAATAGTCTTTGCAGTAAGTGGTGCTAGGACATCTGGATAGCCACATACAGAAGAATGAAGGTGAACTCATACCTAATCATATACAAAATTTAACTTGAAATAAAAGAGCTATAAGTTAGAAATAAAACTACAAAACTCCTAAAAGAAAATATAAGGGTAAATATCTATGGCCTTGAATTTGGCAAGAGATCCTTAGCTATCATACCAAAAGCATGAGCAACAAAAGAAAATCAAAAATAGGTACACTAAACTTCATAAAATAATTGAACTTTGTGTTTCAAAGGGCAACATACAGAAAGTGAAAGGCAAAATCACAGATTGGGAGAAAATATTTTCAAATCACATATCTGATGATTTGTATTTAGAATGCATAAAGAACATGTATAACAATGAAAAGACAATCCATTTTTTTAAAGACAAAGTATCCGAATAAATATTTCCCCAAAGAAGAAAAACAAATGGCCAATAAGCAGATGAAAAGATGCTCAACATCATAAATTATCAAGTAAATGAAAATAACACAATGAGATGCCATTTCATACCCACTAGGATGGCTAGAATTGAAAAGGCATATAATAACAAGGTTTGATGAGGGTGTGAAAACATTAAAATTGTCATACACTGCTGGTGGGAATGTGAAATGGTGCAACCACTTTGGAAAACAGTTAGGCTTGTCCTCAAACAATTAAACATAGAGTAACTATATGACCTAGCAACTATTAATTACATGCCCAAGATACATAAAAATATATGTCACAGAAAAAACTTACACAAGAATGTTTGTAGTATTATTCATAATTTCCAAAATATAGAGACAATCCGAATATCCATCAAAGGATGAATAAACAAAATCTGGTTTATTCATACAATGTCATATTATTCAACCTTGAAAATAAATAAAACACTGATACATGCCATGACTTTGATGAGCCTCAGAAATGTTATGCTAAGTGAAAAAAAAGTCACTCACAAAAGTTTATATAATATGAAAACTGAAGAGTATTTTATATAAAAGTCAAGAATAGAAAAATATATAGAGACAAACAGTAAATTAATGGTGACAGGCTGGGAAAAGAGGAGGCTGATATTTTAATTATATAGAGTTGCTTTAGGAGGTAATGAAAATGTTCCAAAATTGGGATGGTTGCATATATTTGCAAATATACTAAAAACCATGAAGTTGGACACATTATTTTATTTTTATATTTTAGAGAGGAGTCTTGCTTTGTTGCCCAGGCTAGTCTCAAACTCCTGGCCTCACACAATCCTCCCACCTCAACCTCCTGAGTAGCTGGGATTATAGGTGTGACCCACTGCACACAGAAGATTAAATTGTACATTTTAAATAAATTAATTATGCTATATGTGAGTTATATCAATAAAGTTATTTTTAAATAAGAAAGGCAAAATGTAGAGATAAAGACTATACATGTGTTTATTTGCAAATATCGCATAGCATAATTTCCTAAAATTCCTTAATTCTCCTTTCATTGTATTACAGAATGCTAGGAGTGTAGCAGTATTTTCAGTGCCATCTTTAGCATGCTAATATATCATTTAATTTCTGTCAACTCTGGTGAAGTACAACAGTGCATTCCCATGGTATGTTTTGATCAGATTAACATGATTTTTTCTTCCATCTAGTATAAATTGTTTAAAAATAAGAGATTTTGAGAACTACAAAAGGCAGGATAGTGAAATCTCTAAAAGTGTATTTTCCAGAAGTAGACTTCAATCAGTTGTAACTAGTGTGATCTTCAGCAAGACCCTTCACCTCTCTGAGCATGAGTTTTTACTTTGTTAAATTGTAAATAATATTACTAACTGATGTGTAATAAATTAATACATGTAAAGTATTTAGATCAGGGTCTTTCATATAGCAATTATTCAATAAGTATTAGCTATTAGTAAATTATCTGTCTATGGGACAAAATGGGAGTTATTCTTTAGTCTTATAACTACAAATAAATATTTATATTTTCTTACAGAAAAAGATTAAAGGCTTCTGTTATTTTCCTAGACATTGTCTTTTCATTAACTACAAAAAAAAAAATAAAGCCACAACCCAATTCTGTGGCACTTTCATATTTCTTAGAAATCAGTTCCTTATTTTTTTTTAATTTTTTTTATTGTGGAAAAAAAAACATGAGATCTATCCTGTTAACAAAATTTTTAAAGTGTATAGCATAGTTTTATTAACTATAAACACAATGTTGTACAGCAAATATCTAAAACTTTTCTATCTTGCACTACTGAAACTCTATACCCATTGAACAGCAATGGTTTTTTGTTTCTCCCTCCTCCTAAGACCTTGGCAAATGCCATCATAATTTGTGTTGTCCCTTGGAAAGTTAAGTTCATTTAATTTCCATCAATTCTCCTGAGATGTACTAACATTCTACAATGTTATAATTTGACTAAATGAACTCTGATATGCTTGCTACATCCAATCTTCAAGAATACTAAAAATCTGAAGTTTAGAACTATAACTACTAATAGCCTAATTTGTATATGAAAATGTAATGAGCAGGACGGGCTCCGTGGCTCACGCTTGTAATCCCAGCACTTTGCCAGGCCGAGGCGAGCGGATCACAAGGTCAGGAGATCGAGACCATCCTGGCTAACACAGTGAAACCCCATCTCTACTAAAAATACAAAATTTAGCCAGGCGTGGTGGTGGGTGCCTGAAGTCCCAGCTACTCGGGAGGCTGAGGCAGGAGAATGGTGTGAACCCGGGAGGAGAGCTTGCCGTGAACCGAGATTGCACCACTGCATGCCAGCCTGGGCAATAGAGCAAGACTCCATCTAAAAAATAATAATATTACTAATAATAGTGAGCAACAATATTCTACAAATGAAAATGTCAATTTATACTATGCATTGAAGCTAAATGAAAATAGTATTTCTCATTAATATCATTCAGTGTAACTATTGTCCTGTGCAATAAGCTTTACAAGTTTCTGCCTATTTTACTCTCATTGGCCATAAAAATTGTTGATACCAATAGTGTCACATTTAGTTATTGGTTTGTATGTAACAGATTATGTTCAAACATAAATTTATCAAAAAACAGAATTTTAAACAATTATCTGAATCACACATATCACACATATGAAATAATGGATGGCAAAAATGGCTTCTAAATAATTTTTAAAACCGGTAATATGTTTTCCACAAGTATAAATTTAGCTACAGTGCTTTATTCTATAGATTGTAAAATGCATAATTTCAAATAATGTTATAATATAGCTCGCTCATTGTTTTTCCTTTATTCATTTGTGAATAAATTTATTTTTAATTGCATAAACATTGAACAGAAGGCAAATTGTTGAGACTATGGGGGATAAAAATTGTACTTGATATTTGGCTTCACATACTTCACTATCTCATAAACATAATCAACGTACAATTATTGAAAAATAATTATGAAAATTGTTATAAACAGTGACTTAAAATGCTTTTCATACAGCAGATCTCTAGAACTTTTCCATCTTCTAGGACTGAATTTCGATATTCAATGCAGTGAATTTCCCCATTATCTCCCTTATCTTTTATTCCATGAGAACTAACATTCTACCTTCTGCTCCTATGAAATGACTAATTTATATAACTCTTATCAGTGCAATCACACAGCATTAGTTCTCCTGTGACTGGCTATGTGCTGGTTCCAACTATTGCCTTTGCTCTCAGCAGCCCTAAACCTGATGCCCTTCCAGTCAGCACTTAGATTCAGGCAAAACAGAAACCAGTTTCTTAGTAGACCCTTAAAAGTCTGAAGATTAGATGTATGTTATAACCTTTCCTTTTCCTCCTAGGGAAAAGCTAAGGTTTGGGAGTTTCCATCTATTTTGCTGTGGTATACCAGAGGGAAGGAATCTGGTGAGTGAGGACCACAAAATTTCCTGCAGGCTTTGACATGGCTGGATTTGTGCATGCCTGGGAAGTGAGAGCCTCTAAACTGGTTTTTGGATACTCACAAAGAAGGTAAGGTTAGTGTATTGTTGTGGAATTGGTGTTTCCACGGGGTAAGTAGAATGTGGGGCTTTCTATTCTACCATCTTGTTGACATCAACCCCCCTCCAAAGGAATATTTTATCATAAAATACTTGCACTGCCTGTGAAGTAGTATATTATTTGTTATTTGAAAGTGGACTTGGATTAGTAAATCTACATTGCACACTCAAAGGGCAACTACTGAACAAATTAAAAAAATATTGATGATATCCTAAGAAAGGAAAACAATTGAATTGTATAAAGTAATTAATTAAAACCACAAATTGCAGAAAGAGTCTAGAGATTAAAATAAGGACAAAAAAGTCAACAAATAGAAAACATTAACAAATATTGTAGATATTAGTCCAAGTATGTCAATAATAACTTCAAATATTAATGGTTTGAATTCATCAATTAAAAGAGGATGTCAGAGTAGATAAAAAAGCAAGATAAAATTACATGTTGTTTACAAAATCCTACTTTACCTATAAAGCCAAACATATACTTTATGATTATTATATTAGAAGTAGACAGATTCAAGCAGTCAAAAAAATCACTAAGGACATGATTGACTGTAATGTATATTCAGAATACCTCATTAAAAACAGTACATTTCATATTTTTCTCAAGCTCACATGGAATATTCAGCAAGATAAACCACATTCTGGGCCATGAAACATACCTTAACAAATTTAATTTAATAGAAAACATACATGTCTGCTCTCAAAGCACAGTGAAATTAAAATACAAATCAAGAACCAAGAGACAGCTGAGAAATTCCCAAATACCTGGAGAATAAACAGCACGTTATAAGTAACACATAGGTCAAAGAAGAAATTGCAAGAGAAATTTTAAAATATTTTAAATGAAAATACAACTTATTAAAATTTATGGAATATAGCAAAAGCAATGCTTAGAAGGTAATTTATAGCATTTAATGCATATATTAGAAAAAATAAAGATCTAAATTATTTTTTATTTGTATTTATTTATTTATTTATTTATTTTTTTGAGATGGAGTCTCGATCTATTGCTCAGACTGGAGTGCAGTGACATAATCTCCACTCACTGCAACCTCCACCTCTCTGCTTCAAGAGATTCTCCTGTCTCAACCTCCTGAGTAAGTGGGACTACAGGGGCCCACCACCATGCCTGGCTGATTTTTGTATATTTTTAGTAGAAACATGGTTTCACCATATTGGTCAGGCTGGTCTCGAACTCCTGACCTCAGGTGATCCATCAACCTTGGCCTCCCAAAGCTCTGGGATTATAGGTGTGAGCCACAGTGTCCTGCCAGAAAGATCTACAATTAATTCTAAGCTTTTGCCTTAGGGAAATAGGAAAAGAAGAGCAAATTAAATCCAACCTAACAGGAGGAGGAGGAGGAGGAGGAGAAAGAAGAAGGTGAAGGAGAAGGAAAAGGAGAAGGAGAAGAACGAGGGGAATGGGGAGGAGGAAGAGGAAGGAAGAAAAATCATATCAACAGACACAGTAAAAGCATTTGACAAAATGCACTCATTTATGATAAAAATGGTAAGAATTAGAGTAGAAATCAACGAAATCAGAAACTGGAAATTAATGAAGAAAATGAGGAAAACCAAAAGCTAGTTCTTTGAAAAGATCAATACAATCAATAAGCTTTTAGTTAGGATAAGAAAAGAGAGAGGTGCAAATTATTAACATCATTAGCAAAAGAATAAACATCATCACAAAGTCCATGGACACCAAAAGATAATTAAAGAATACTATGAACAACCATGCCCACAAATTTAATAACCTAGATAAAACAATTCCTTGGAAGACACAATCTGCAAAACTCATACAAAAAGAAATAGACCATCTAATAGGCCTATATCTATTAAAGAAATTGACAAAAAATAACCTTCCAAAACACAAAGCACCAGCCCCAGAAGAGTTCACTGGTAAATTCTACCAAATATTTTACAAAAGAAATCATACCACTTCTCTACAATTTATTTCACCAGATAGAAGCAGAGGAAGTACTTCCTAATTCACTGTATGAACACAGCATTACCCTAATACAAAAACCAGACAAACAGATTACAGGAAAACAAAACCAGCAAAATATATCTCATGAATATACATGTAACAATTCTCAACAAAATATTGGCAAGTTATATCCAACAGTGTATAAAATAATTATAGCCACAATCAGGTATGATTTATCCCAAATATGCAAGTCTGGTTCAACGTTTGAAAAGTAATTAATATAAAACATCACATTATGCACCTGAAGGGAAAAAATCATATCAACAGACAAAGTAAAAACACTTAACAAAATACACCCATTTATGATAGAAATTCTCAGCAAAGTTGGAATAGAGAGGAACTGCCTAAGCTTGATGAGGAACATCTACCAAAAATCCTACAGCTAACATTCTACTTAATGGTGAGAAATTTGAAGCTTTCTTGCTGAGATCAGGAAGAAGACAAGGATGCCCCCTCACTACTGCATTTCAAGATTGTAGTGGAAGTCCTAGTAAATGCAGTAGATAAGAAATAGAGATGAAAGGTATACATATTGGGAAGGAAGAAATAAAACTGTTTTGTTCACAGAGGACAAAATTATCTATGTAGAAAATCTTAAAAAATATAAAAAATCTGCTGGAACTAATAAGCAATTATAGCAAAATTTCAGGAAACAAAGTTAATATACAAATCTAATCACTTTCTTTTGTACCAGCAATGAGTACATGAAAGTCAAAATTATAAATACATTACTATTTACGTTAGCACCCAACAAATGAAATCTTAGGTAAAAATCTGACAAAATATATCCAAGACCTATATGAAAACAACTTGAAACCAATGAAAGATATCGAAGAACTAAGTAAACTGAGAAATATTCCATATTTATGGATAGAAAAATTCAATATTGTCAATATATCAGTTCTTCTCAACTTGATCTGTAGTTCCAATTCAATCCAAATCAAAATCCTAGCAAGTTAATTTGTGGATGTTGACCAACTGTTCTTAAAGTTTACATAGAGAGGCAAAAGACCCAGAATAACCAATATAATAGTGTAGGAGAAGAAAGTTGGAAGACTGACACTAACCAACTTGAAGACAGTATAAAGCTAAGGTAATCTAGACAGTGTGGTTTGGGTAAAAAAAAGTAATAGACAAATCAATGGAACAAAATAGAATTACACCTACATAAATGTAGACAAATGAATTTTGACCAAAGAGAAAAGCAATACAATGGAGAAGAAGTTTTTCTCACAAACAGTGCTGGCACAACTAGATATTAGTATTCAAAAAGTGAACATAGACATAAACCCTACATTCTTCACAAAATATGACTCAAAGTGAATCATAGATCTAAATGTAAGATGCAAACTATAAAACTCCTAGAAGATATCATAAGAGAAATCCTAGAGGACCTTGGGTTTGGAGATGACTTTTTAGAATATCAAAAGGCACAATTCATAAATTAAACAATTATTAAGCTGAACTTCATTTAAATTTTTTAAAATTGTTTTGATAAAGATAATATTAAGAGAATGAGAAGATAAACCACAGAAAAAACACACCTGATAAAACATTTGCTAAAGACACATACATTGTTATTTAAAATATACAATGAACTCTTGAAACTCAAGCATAAGAAGATGAATAATCCAATTTAAAAATGGATAAATTAACTAAACACCAACTTCACTAAAGAAAGTACAATGACAGCAAGTAGGCCTTTGAAAAGTTGTTCAGTGTCATATGTCAGTAAGGAATTGCAAATTAAAACAACAATGAAATACCACCTTACACCCATTAGAATGGCCCAAATCCAAAATACTGACACCACCAAATGATTTCAAGAATGTTTAGCAACAGGTACTGTCATTTATTGCTGGTGGAAATGCAAAATGGTATAGCCATTCTGGAGGGCAATTTGGCAGTTTCTTAGAAAAGGAAACATGTTTTATGATGCAATTCAGCAATCACGCTCCTTAGTACCTACCCAAATAAACTGAAAACTTATGGCCACATAAAAACCTGCACAAGAATCTTTATAGCTGCTTTTTTCATAACTTCCAAAACTGGAAGCAACTTTGATGTCCTTCAGTAAATAAATGAATAAATAAACTCTGGTATATCCAGACAAAGGAACATTATTCAGCATTAAAAAGAAATGAGCTATCGAGCCATGTAAAGACATGGAGGAAATCTAAATGAATATGATTAAGTGAAAGAATCCTTGTGGAAAGACTTCATAATGGATGATTATACTAGGTTGGTGCAAAAGTAATGGCAAAACAGCTATTACTTTTGTACCAACCTAAATAACTATATTGCATTCTAGACAAGGAAAACAATGGAGACAGTACTAAGATGAGTGGTAGCAAGGGCTTGGTGTGGGGAAGGAAGAATGAATGGGTAGAGCAGAGGATTTTTAATGCAGTGAAACTATTCTGTATGATTCTACAATGGCAGACACATGTCATAACACATTTGCCAATACCCTAGAATATACAACACCAAGAATGAACCTTAACATGAATTGCAGACTGTAAGTAATAATGATGCATGGATTGTAACAAATATACCACTGTAGTGTGGAATTAGGGGAGGTTTTGTTCCTGTGAGGACAAGGGACACATGGGAACTCATTGTATCTCCCCTAAATTTTGCTGTGAAAAACATAAAGATCATTAGTTAAAAAATCATTGAGAACTCTTGATTAAATGGGTATGTGGACACATAAGACAGTAGAGTTGGGAAAAATTAAAAAATTCTATCTCAGAGCTAGATCCCATAGATAGTTAATGTCATCTTGGAATTCTAGGCTTCATTCTGTAGAAATTATGAACCAATGAGAAAAATTTTTCATAGTTTTTTCATAGTCAGAGGTGGGTTCTTTTGGAAGTTTAATTTACAAAAGTCACTGGTATGAGTAATGTATAGGAGGAAAAAATATATGTCTTGTAAATATTGCAGTATATCATGTAAATATGTAGGAAATGATTGAACACAAATTATTACATTTATACCCAGATCATATATAGGGGTAAGAAAGAGAATTATGAATGATTGAGTTTCAAGCCTGGGTGATTGAAAGGAAAATTAACCAGAATTGAAAATATCATACACATGGTGCTGATTTCTGTGAAGCTACAATGATTTACGTTTTCTATTTATCGTTCAGTGTGTGATATTACAAAGACCATAATATTACAGAGGTTCTAAAGAAAACAAGAGAACAAAGCATCTAGAATAAAAGATAAAAGTGCTTTTAAAGAAGGTATGACAAAGGAAAATCAATCAAGAAATAAGCATTGATTACTAAGGAAACAGTATTATGTTTGGCATTACTGTAGCTTTGGTAATATGCAATGAGGTGATTTCAATCAATTAAGTGATAAGAACAAAAATCAGACTGCAAGGGGCTTATGGATGGTCAGAAAATGTGATGTACACGTGTGTTGTATGCAATATTTTTATATAGGTTACCATGTTAATGTGTTGCAATTGTAAAGCTTGAACACTTGCAAGTAAGCTCAAATTGAATGAACATAGAATTCCTTTGTACAGTATGACAAGCAGCCTCTGAGAAGGTCCCCAGTTAACCTCCCTTCCTATTTATTCATGCCTTGGTTCAGTCTCCTCCCCTTCGGTGTGGGTTGAAACTGGTTACTTACAATTCAAGTGATAACATACTGTCAATATATGCTTACAAAAAGATTGTGACTTTTGTCTGGAACACACATCTTCTCTCTGTCTCACTTTCACTCTGTGGGAAGACAGATACCATGTTGTGAGCTGCATTCTGGTGAAGCTTGTGTCAAAAGATTGAGGGAGGCTTTCAACCAAGAGCAGGTGAGGAAATGAGGCTCCAGGCCAACCACCCATGAGGGACTGAATCATGCCAACAGCCTGTTGAGTGACCTTGGAAGTGGATCCTATCTCAGTTGAACCTTAGAATGAGACTGCTACCAGGCTGACACTTTGTGAGAAAACGCGAGCCAGAAAGCCCAGCAAAGCCGTGCCCAGATACCAAACCCACAGGAAGTGTGAGTTAATAAATGTTTGTTACTTTAAGCTACTGAGTTTGTGAGTAACTTTTTCATGGCAATAGATAAGTAATACAAATGGTGAAATTCTTTTTGAAATTTAGGTTTTCATAAGCCAGTATATGTCTATATGTGAAATATCTGCACTTTTAAGAGTTAAATATACTGATTTAATATAAAAAGAGATGTTTAACAACTGGCATATGATATATTCTTAACAGTGAATCTATAGATGCTTGAAATAAGCATGCTTGCGTAAAGTGAAATGTTTATTTCCCTTAAATTAAACAATGTTGCTATTTAACTTTTTTCAACCAGTAAATATATCTGTATCACATACCACACTTCAATCTTTTATCATGTTTTCTATTTGCGACTATTTCCTTTGCTAATATTAATGCAAATATTTGATAATGACTTTTTGATGTTAGGATTTGCTTTGCATATTAAAATTAAAAGTTTATTTGCAAAAACAAGCTAAGGAGTGCTGGTATGGTAGAACCTCTAACCACACTGCTATGCTTTCATCCAGGAAGTCTGAAACTAAAATCTTTACAGCTCACAATGTCACCAGGCTTGCCCACTGTTGCATAAAGCATTAATCAAGTAAATATTTTAGTGAGAGCTTAGAATGTTAAGTTCTGCATATCATGACAAACCACGTGGAAAAGGTCACTTCCTAATATTCTTTTCTTCTCAATTACTTAGCTCAATTATTTAGTGTATTTGGAATACACTAGGCACAAGCCCACTTTAGCGCATTTGCTCTATCTCTTCTTTTTGCCCTGAATACTCTTTTCCCACAGATCTGCATAGCTAATTGCTGCACACTTTTAAGTTTTTGTTCAAATTTCACTCTCTCAATCTTGACAATACTGTTCGATATTACAGCCTTCCCTACCAGGCCCAATGTCTTAATTCCTCTTCCTCTGATCTTTCTTTTGTATCACTCATACATTTTAAATATGCAATGCAATCATTTATTTTGTTAATTATCCAAGCAATTAAAATAAAATACAATTAATATAGATTTAAGATGATATAATTAGTGTAATAGGTGTTTCTGTGAAAGCTTCCAAAAAATATGACATTTGGGTTAACTCTTGATTGATGGGTAGCATTTTTATAGCTATGGAGAAGATGAATGCTGGAGTAGTCCAGTTGGTAAGAACAGTATATTCAGAGAAGGCGCAGCAAGTCACTCATTTTGTCAGAAATACAGAACAACTTTGATATGGTGTGGCATACAAGTCATGAATGCCGTAGTACAGTAAAATAAGGAAGAATAATGTGGCTCATAATAGCAAAAATACACTATTATATAATATACTATAATGTAATGACATTACAATGATAAATGCTAGGTAGTAAAAGAACACTTCAAAAGTCTATTGTATATCATTTTCTATGTTCAACTATTTATATCATTACCTGGTGACATAAATTAAGTGCCTATGAAGCAAAAATATGGTACCTCTTTTAATCTGTTCAAACTTCTTGATGTTTCAATGTGTGTGGGTACACTCCATATGAAAGTACACCAACTTGGTTATTTAGAGGAGACTGCAAAACCTAATGGATGTGTAAAACAGGAATTATGGTAATGCCCTGGAGAATACATTCCCCATTTTAAAGCTAGTTACAAAGCAGGTCCAGTTAATCATTTGCATGTACTTTTGTCAGAACTTCTACTTCACGGGTGATTATGGACATTGAATTATTTATCTAAAATGTTTTGATATTTATGTTTGGAAAACTAATTAACAGCTTTGAAAAACTAATTGTTCATAAGGCACATTTTGCCCCTGGGCTGCTCATTGGCATCCTCGCCCTATGTCCACATTTACTGGTCATTCAATGCTACATCACTTCAAGCAGCAGCTTTAAATAATCACAAACGTTACCTCTATTTGTGATGACCTGTGATTTACATACTTAAATGTTGATATTTCACTTTACTGACACAACACACATACAGTCACACATGTATACATATACTATATATGAGGATATGTATACAAACACTGTAAGTATTTTTTGGGGGAGGGCCTTTTTGGATTCCATTTCAAAACCATATTTACCATGTATTATTTCAAAATGTACTAACAAATTCACAATGTGTGTTGGATATAGGATACAGACTGATTTTTTCACACAATCTCTTCTTAATTCAAGATCTTTAATATTTAAAGAAAGCTTGATTTATACTTTCATCAGAAGATTTACTTTTCTATGGAAAAAATATATTTTATTCCTAGGAGCAATAACAACATTTAAATCATTGAAAATATCATATAATGTATGACTGCACCTTAATTTAAATAACCTTTCAAACATAGAACTCTCTCCTTCCTATCACTCCCAGAACTAGTACACAGGCAGTGGGGCAAGTTATCCAAAAAGATATATGTTGATTTTAATAGCTTGGAGGAAATGGAACTTTAAAAAATTCCTCTTTCCATTTTTTCCTAAGAACACTATAACCCAGACAAGTTTCATAGCATCAAACCAGCTCTTCTGGGCCAAATAATAGTCATGTGAAATGCAAAGTGCAATTACCCTCAGCAGGATAACAGATAATTGGGGTATGCAGAGAGATATATTTTTATCACTTTTTCCTTTCTTTACAGTCTTGGTGTTACATTTGTTCTGATATGTCGAAGTCACAATACATAACAGGATCCCTTTTTAGCAATCGGAATAGCTGTCCAAAAAGTGTTCCTGTTCTCTAACTTAAGTATGTATCAGGTGTAGAGTAAAATAGTACACAGAGTTTCATCCCACCCTTGACAACTAAGATTGTACCTTATAGTGAACATCCACTAACTTTATAAAAATATGTTTTTCTCTAAGGAAAAAATGAAGAAGTAATTTAAAATATACTGACAGAAAGTACTAGTTGCAGCTCTGACACAGAAATATATTATCACTCCTCTCCTTATGACAAGAAATAGGTGGACAAACTAAAATTCTGTGACCTTTTCTTGGCCCATTAAAGAGCTGAGGTTGTAGGGCAAACCATCAGCCCTAAATCTGGACAGCAGATAAACCCAGATTCACAGCTGAGATCTGACTACCTGGAGCAAAAACGTTTGAAATTATAAACTATTAGGAACATTAGAATTGCTGGAAGCTGACTGTTGACAAGTGTGAAAATGAGAAACTCCTGAGATGGCACAGACTTATTGTCTCCTCCCTCAACACTTTTAAGGGCTTTCTTTCTAGAAACTTTGCACTGTTAGAATTCAAGAAAAATCTCCTCATGGGTCTGGCTGGTGAGGAGTAATTTCTCCACAGAAAATTCCTACCTTCCAGGCTAAAGAACCTTTACAGAAAACTTGTACCAAGGGAAAGGGGATTCCTTCCCACTGAACTCTCTCCAACCTACCTGTCACATGTAAGGAGGTAAAAACACATTCAACAGAGGACTGAGGTTCAAATAAATAGATTGGGAAAACCACAGTAACCAACTGAAATTTACTTGGAAAGTTACAGAATGTTCTTCTCCCACACCTTACCACCAGTATAATAACATTGGATTATAGGTTAAAGACAAGACATAGAATCTTTCTGAGCAGCAGTTTATAGGAAATCCAAAGACAGGAGGAGGGACAAAAGTAAGCAGAGGAATTGGAAGCTCTGGCACCTCTACCTACAACCAACATCAAAACAGTCCAAATCCTATTCAACTTACCATAAATTCTCACACGCTAAGCCTATATACCTCAAATTCTATTACAAGACACAACATGTCTATCAATCAGTCAGCAAAAATTAAAAAGCCTATCATAAGACAAGAAAATAAAACTGCAAACGCAGTCTTTACTCTTTTTGAATATTTATTTAAACTAGTCCATAATAGTCTGTACACAACTGACTTTAATCCTTCAAATCTTAGCATGTTTCCTGTGTTAATTATATGCTTCCACTATACTTGGTCTATAATTACATGATGCTCTAGTGTAATTATAGGAGATAATTGTAATTATCAGAGCATTAGCTGATGAGCAATATATTGTCCTAATTATCATGGGAAGTAAGGAAAGGTGGGAAAGGCTGATATTGATGAGATAGTTTAAAGAATTAAGAAGGATATGAAAAAGGATCTGTAAGGGTCTATGAGAGGACATTATAAAAGTAATCAGACCAAAAAGTCCTCCCTAAAGAAGTGGCATAATATTGTAATATGTTCCATTATGTATATCACTGTAATGTGTGAGCATTAAGTATGCTTATTTTAATCACTGTTATGATGTGTTTTGGCATCTTCTGAACTACCGGTAAAATGTATTACCTTACTTGTCTAAGAGCTGTGGACACATGGAGCTAGATGATTCAGATAAAACATTAATCTGTCTATATATCTCTGTTTTTCTTATGTAGATAGATAAATATAGATACACAGTTGCCAAACCAACAGTATAATCAATTACCTGTGTTATTCTACCAGTTTTTCTGTGAATAGTGATGGTGTTGAACAAATGAAAAAATATTTTATTAATTTCTATACATATTTTTTACATTACCAAAAGTATTTATTTGTGTTTATTTGTGTCTACACTCTGTTACAGTGTATAAAATGAATGAGGCATGGTATCTTTCAAGAAGCAGTAGCATACTATTTAGAGTATATTGTTATGAAATAAAAATATCTTACATTTTAAACATGTCACATAGTCTGTCTTCATTTGCAGTAATGTGATTTGCAGCTACATCTATTATATTTCACATTATTACATCCAAAATTTGAGTTATAAAATTTGCAAATAAAGCTCCACAGATGGAGTCCTTAAATTTCATCTAGCAAACAATAATCTACCACAAGTGCTTAGGAGTTCTATTCTGACACACTGAACAGATTTGATTCCAGTTTCAGTACATCTATTCCTAAGCAAAAGAGCCCTTTTGGATTTGCTGTTTTGTTCATTGCTAAGATTATGAATATGCTTATTGGAAAATGGTTACATTAATCCTTTTAAAGTAAAGAGAAACCCCAAAACTTTTATTTTATGCTTTTCCAAAGTGTATTGGATACATATTTACCATTGTATAGAACGCTTAAATAAAAAAAGAAATTGCTTAAAAGCCTACTACAAAAATTTTGAACAAATGGTTTTGCGATATAAATGAGCGCTTCTCCAAGTGAAAAATAAAGTAATTTTGCTAGAGTTGGCAAGATTAATCATCTTTGTGTTAAATGTTTATGTCTGAAACTTAAAAGTATGATTTGAATTACCATTCAGTGCTTCTGGACATTATAATTGTATTTATATGTCTACTTCAAATTTTATGAATATATTTTCTGCTTAATAGCAGCATTACACCAGTTGGCTTATTTTAATGTAACATAATTATTGCAGGGAAAAAATCTAATATTGTCAGCAGTCATTTTGAATCACTACAACTGTTGGTAAACTGATTGATACATTTTTTCTTATACCTGTAATATTGGAAAAAGCTGGTTTTTTAATTCATTAACATTCAGTAAAACATATGTGACATACAAGAACCTCATTCTCTCATAGTCCACATTCTATCTTCTAGAAAGAAATTATCTTAAGTTTTTAAAAAGAAAGAAGATATCTTTCTCAAAAAGTTAATCTGACTCATTAGGTAAGTCAAAAGTAAAGAGTATTACAGATGTAGATAAAACAATTTTTAAAAATTAGATATTTGATATTAGAATAGAATACTATTGACGCAAAAGTATTAACTATAAATAATCACATTCTTTTCCTTCTTAAAATTCAGGCCAGGGCAGAAACATTTTTCTGAAGATTGAGAATTACATATTCTGATTATAACATTTTGTCAATGATTTCTTAATATGCACTTGTTATTTGCATGGATAACATCTTTCTTGCTTTCCCTTTCCAGGGCAAATGGAAGCAGAGAGACAGAATGATGAAAATAGCCACTAAGTGTGTTTCCTGACCAAGTTTGTTTGACAGTAGTTACCAAACTTTACCATGGGTCAATTTAAAAATAAATAGCCTTTCGCTGTAGCTTAAAGCAAGCAAGAAAGAGTCAGCCATACAAAATAAGTTGGGGAAAAGGCATTTATGCCTAAGAGCAAAAAACAAAATGAGTCATATTTATTTTCCTTTTCCACTTGTCCCATTGTTAAATGCTAATTTCTGTTCTTGGAATCAGTCCTAGAGAAGAGAAAGGAAAAGAACATTGCACCTTAATAGAAAAAAAAAACTGCTTTTAGATTAGAACAATCATGTGTGGGGATCATGTGTATGTGTGTAATGTGTATACACAAAGCATGTGTGTGTATATGTGTATAACCTTAAGCTGCTTAATATCTTTCTTCTTGCCTCCTGCAGTGAAATGGATTGATATTTTAAAGGTCAAAAGAAATCTTCAATTGTTCAATTGTTAGCTTGTTGAAAGGAAAAAAAAAAACAAACTAAGATTGACAATTCTGTAGTAACTGAAGATATTTCTCTTATTGACTCCTCTCTATTAGCATACTAGGAAAGAATACATGTTATTTGATCTGTTTGAAATGAACTCCTTTTGTTTATTTGAAATATAGCTACCAAATGACCAGCCAACGCATGCAATATGCCTACACTTTTATGTTTTCATTAACATAATAAAACAAATCATAGATCAATAGAATATTTTTGAATGCATAAAATACACCAGCAATAATTTTCTATGGCAATTGGTATTTGTGATCATGCTACATTAAAGAAAATTCATTGTGACTCTTCATTTTGCTTAATCTAAATCTTTTATTATCTGTTTACATTTTTAGGGAATACAATGGTTCTATGATTGGTCAACTACTTTGGATTACAGAAAATGTAAAGGTAGTGTCAGATTATCTGTCCCAAAATACACAAGGACATATATAGTTGTCTCCCAGTATGTGGGGAATTGGTTTCAAGTTTGTCTGCCTGCCTCTTACCAACTCTTGCTCCACATACAGTATAAACATCCCACGAATACTGTATTTTCCAGCCATCCATTGGTGGTGGATACAGGATGCACAGGTATGGATTGTATTTACTGAAAAAAATTGCCATATAAGTAAACCAGCACAGTTCAAGCCTACATTGCTCCAGAATCAACTGTACACACATAAAAAAGGTGCATGCAATTTCAAAGATTTCACAGAATTCTTGAGAATCATGCATGGATCCTGAACCTCCAGCTACTTTAATTTTTTTATTATCATTTTTAAATTGAAAAAAGATATTTTTAAAAATTATCAAAACTAGCTCTGAAGTAGATGTATTATCTTCTGTCTTTTAGAATGTCTACACGTATGTAGAAAAAAAAATTCCAGTAATGATGAATAACCACTGGATAGTAGTTATAGAATAGACATATATATGTCTATATATTTTTATCAGTAATAGCAAACAACTAATTCTTCCACTGACCTGCCAGAAATGTGACCTTTTGAAAGGAGATTCTGTAACTTACTTTGAACTTACATTTTAATTCCCATTTATTGTGACTCTTCATTCTCTCCATTACGAAATACAAATATCCTCCTACTGAGACTCAGTTTAGTTTTACCTTTAGAGCAAATTAATATAGAAATTAGACTGATTTGCATACATTAAGGTGCAAAGCAAAGAGATTCAACCTTTAATATTAAAATTTACTTTGTGGTGATTTGAAAACAATTGAACTATGTTCTCCTCCGCAGGCTTAAGTGGAATTGCCTTGTAATTGAATAAATTCTATATGCTCTATTACATCACCTAAGTGTTATCTCCTTTGGCTTTTTTTCTTCCCTCACCTTTGCATTAGCTAGTTTCATTCCCTCTACCATAGCCCGTTTTATAAGTCTTATCTTTTTTTTTCTTCTTTTTTTTTTGAGACGGAGTCTCGCTCTGTCGCCCAGGCTGGAGTGCAGTGGTGTGATCTCGGCTCACTGCAAGCTCCGCCTACCAGGTTCACGCCATTCTCCTGCCTCAGCCTCCCAAGTAGCTGGGACTACAAGCGCCCGCCACCACGCCCAGCTAATTTTTTGTATTTTTAGTAGAGACTGGGTTTCACCGTGTTAGCCAGGATGGTCTTGATCTCCTGACCTCGTGATCCACCCGCCTCGGTCTCTATAAGCCTTATCTTTTTTAAAGAAGAAGATATAAATACGAAGTAGTGAGATATATATACCATTACAAAAAAAGCAAGAAAAACAGGGTTTAGGAATCAAAACATGCATGAGTTGAGTGTTTTGACAAAATTGGCAACTTTTAGAATAAAATGCTCCTTCACATACATATGAATGAAAAGTGATGAAAAAAATAATTCAGTTGCCTGTGGGTTTGTCTGTTACATCTGTAAACAAAAATGTTACTGGGCAAATTTCAAAATTACAGCTTCCTAATATTTATTGCTTATTTAATATTTTAAGGTTGCCAAACCTCCAAGGGCTAATTTTCACTGTGTTTTATTCATTATTAGAGCAGCTGAAATGGAACAGTGATGCACTGAGTGAGAAATAGAACAGAAGAAAATGAGATGAACAACATTAAAAATATATGGATGCATTTAATATAATATTATCTGGATTAAAATATACCAATAGCAATCACAAAAAATTCCAGTTACTTTTGTGCAAGATTTAACTCAAAATCTTTGAAGGTTTATTATTCAATCTTGCATTTAATTATTTATTCTAGGTGAATTTACTGAGCACTTGCTTTATGTTAGACTGTCATTCTATAAAAATCACGCTAATTAAAACATAGGGAAATATTTTTATCCTAATATTGCTACTTATACATTGTTAACAATTAATGAATTTAAAATATAGGCCTTGAATAAACTTTATCTTAGCCTAGTTCTATGCATTAATCTGAAGGACAGTATAATTATTTTTCAATACTTTTAGTATTCTCAAGGGTTTTTATATAAAACATCAAATTCTCCTTCTCTCCCTCACACACACACATAAGCATACTTTGTTTCCCCAACTAGACATCCCACAATATTATTGTTATTGTTATTATTATTATTATTATTGAGACAGAGTTTCGCTCTACTTGCCAGGGTGGAGTGCAATGGCGTGATCTCGGCTCACTGCAACCTCTGTCTCCTGGGTTCAAGCGAGTCTCCTGCCTCAGCCCCCCGAGTAACTGGGATTACAGGCATGTGCTACCATGCCCAGCTAATTCTGTATTTTTAGTAAAGATGGGGCTTCACAATGTTGGTTGGACTGGTCTCGAACTACTGACCTTGTGATCCGACTGCCTCCGCCTCCCAAAGTGCCGGGATTATAGGCCTGAGCCACCACGCCTGGCCCCTACAATAATATTAATTTATGCTTTTAAGGGTTTTGTGGGTTATTGGTGATTTTTTCTTCTTTCATTACCTTTAATATTTTCTTTTATTTTTAAAATTTATCTTTTCCTTGCTTCTTGAAATTAAGACTTAATTTATTTTCAGTTTTGTTTGTTTGCTTGCTTGTTTTTTGTTTGTTTTTTTAGAGATGGAGTCTCGCTCTGTCGCCCCGGCTGGAGTGCGGTGGCACGATCTCGGCTCACTGCAAGCTCCGCCTCCTGGGTTCACACCATTCTCCTGCCTCAGCCTCCGGAGTAGCTGGGACTACAGGCGCCCGCCACCACGCCCAGCTAATCTTCTGTATTTTTAGTAGAGACGGGGTTTCACTGTGTTAGCCAGGATGGTCTCGATCTGCCAGGATGACCTAGTGATCCGCCCGCCTTGGCCTCCCAAAGTGCTGGGATTACAGGTGTTTGCCACCGCACATGGACGTTTTCAGTATTTTTTAAATGTGCACTTTAAGGTTATAGGTATTTCCTAAATAACACTTTCTTTGCATCTCAGAAGTTTTTAAATTTGTGTTGATTTCAACTATAAATGTTACTAGGCAGTGCACTCATCCTAGGTTATTAGTCTTACTTGGAGAAAGAACGCTGCTAACGAATTAATTTAGCTTAAAAGAGAATTTATTGAAGGAAAATACAGAGCAGAGAGTTTATTTAGAGAGACAGTACACTCTGAAAGATGAGGCAGAGCAGGTTACTGCAAGGGAGTGATCCAGCAGCAGTCTGAAAGCTCTGCGTTGGGTTTTTATGAAGCTGGATTTTTTCTTGAAGTTCCTACCCATCAATGTCTGAAGTCTCCGCCATTTTTCTTTGTCTGGTTTTCCCGCTCCTATTTTTTAAGTCCTCTCCTTTCCCACCCCAGGCTTGTGGGACCCTCCCTTCCTATTAGTTGGTGCACGTGCATGGGCCTGGTGTTGGATATAAATTTTACTTAATGGTTGCATTGCTCATTACCGCACCCTGCCCCCAGGAAGGTTTTACAGGGGTTGTGCTTGTGCCTGTGTATCTCTTAGGCATTTCTTCTTTGCCTTCTTCCCCTTACAACATGCATCTAGCTACATTCTGACAGGTTAACTGCAGAGTGAATGATTACTTGGCATCTTAATGGGCGTTCTTTCTGCCTAGAAATTTCCCCTCCTCCTTGCCCATATCTAACATGCAGGTTTCAGGTGGTCCCTGGAGGTCCAGACCTCCCTTTTCTCAGGGCTCCCCCTCCTCCTCATGTCTAGCTATCTGCCTGCCCTAACACAAGTATGTTATACGTTTCACCATGACTCCATCTTTAACTCATGAGTTACTTGGAAGACATGATTTTCCTTTTTATACATTTGTGTTTTATAATGTACAACATAATACTGGTATGAAGCAGGAAAAATGAATAAATTATAGGTAGATGCATAGACATGGATAAACCTCACAATGTAATATAGAATTAAAGGGCAAGCAATGGAAGAGTACGTGAGAATGATGCCACTAGTATTAGTTAGGGTATAGTCCATGCTCCTGTAACAAAGATACTCAAAGTGACAATGGCTCAAAAGAAATTTATTTGTCTCTCACTAGTAGTGCAGAGAACGAAGCCGAATCTTGAGGTTTTCCTTCTAGATTGCTATGCAGCTGTTGGATGCAGAGAACAATACTCCGAAGTATGGAGTTTGGCATGCTTAGTACTTTGAATTAAAAGAAATCGCGAGGTCCAAAAAGCAGCCTAACTTTCTACCCTTCTCTTGTTTCTCCTTACCCCCTAGTACGGGGAGGGACTGTCTCTGTGAGACAGCCACATGCCTAGGCAGATAAAAAGGGATCCCTAGAGAATCTCCAACCTGCCCCACAAGTGTTTACAACAGATGTTTTTGTGCAGATGAGAGAAGCTTCCCAGGGCTGGTCTGGGCATTTCACCCAGCGGCCTGGAGCCAGAAACAGGCACTGGCGGAAGTGGGTGGAGCTATGGAGAATTTGAGTCTTACACAGGGGAGGAGCCTGCTGTCTTCAGCTCATGTATGCGTCCTGGAATCAATCTGTGAGATGGCAGCCTGTTAGCAGGAACCCCCTTGCTTTGCTGATAGTTCTTTTTTTCTTTTCTTTTCTTTTCACCCAATACATTCCATTCAATGTGTATGTGTGCCTAATTTTTCCTGGTTGTGTCACAAGAACCCAGTTTTAGTAGAACTAAGGAGCAAAATTCTGCAACATCTGGAATTTCCTTATTGGACTAAGGAAACATGTTCAAAAGAAATGCAATTGCGTTAAGATGCACCACCCACCCTCCCAACCCAGGAATCTCATCAAATAACCAGGCAAGATTAGCCACTAAAAAAGGAAAATGGCAGGGTTTGCTTCAGTGTTTGTTGTTTTGTTCACCAGCCTGATTTTTGCCAGCACCTTTGTGTGTCAGTGGCTCCAAACTGTGAAAGTACTCCAAGATAAAAAGAAGCAGCTGCCTCTATTTTCTTTACTGCCTTCTATATATCTCTGAATTCCTTTTTGTAAATTTGTTTGGTTCTGTGCACAGGAGTCCCACAAAAATATTAGAGTCAAAGAAGGGCCAGATGAAGAAAGTCTATATCACATCCTGAGCTATAGAAAGAAACAGGGGCTTGAGGCTCCTGAGAGGTGGTAGAGTCAAATTATCGCAGCGTGAGGAGAAGAAATGTATGGTGAACAAAGGTTGCCTTGTTATGCAGACAAAACTCTCTTAGGTAATAAAAGTTGTCTGGGAGCAGCTCGCTTCCTGTTACAGATATCCTTACTAAAAAAAAAAAGAAAAAAAAAAAATCCCGCATGGATATAAATCTTCTTTACGAAAGGGAACTTTATTTTAGGCAGTTGAGTGGAAGATGAAGAACTGTTTCTGTGTTGGTTGAGTGCAATTTGTTTTTATTCAAAATAATCAAGATGCCAGGATGGTATATATCGGAGTGATATATCCTAAATCTCTTTAAAATCATTTATCAAAATGATATTGTATAAGGCTTAGTAAATGTAACATGATAATGTAACATTCAAGGAAATTTGTGAATAAGAGATCCAGCTCAGCATTTAACCGAGTCTCTTAAGTGTGGTCCTCACATTGGAAGAATGCCTATGCACGCTTATGTTTATTGCTAGAGTTTTATTTGTTTTTTTTTTCTTGTGATTGTGTGATTTATTTGGAATATGGTTGACAGTGATGTTTTGTTGTTATTTGGAGACCTGTCCTTATTTTTCTTGGTAATAAAGAATAATATTTCAAGGCCCAATTGTTTGCATGACATCATTGAATTTTATTGCTTAATATAGCACCTTCAGAGGGTATAAATTTCTCTGTTTTATTTAACCCCATTATTAACTGTTTGGTCTGAACTTTAAAAAAAATTCAGTCTGTAGGTTGAGAAATAATGACATGATGTGATTTGAACATGCCTACTTTCTAAGGAAGCACACAGCTTTGATATTTTTTTCACCTTAGATTGTTTATGTCTGAGTTATGAAAAGAGAGTTCTCATGGCTACATTTCTCAGGAACCAGAGGAGCTTGAGGAAGTTGGAGGGACTCTGCTCTGAGCCCTGCTGTCAAGAAAGGGCACAGCAGAGTTTGTTTTGGTGTTGTGTTTGTTCACTGTCCTTCTGATCTTTGTCAGCACCTCTGTGTGTCAGTGGCTTCAGAGTGTGAAAGTACACCAGGATATAAACAAGCAGCTGCCTCTGTTTTATTTACTGCCTTCTATATATATCTGAATTCCTTTTTGTAAAAGTTTGTTCGGTTTTGTGATGGCTTATCCTGAGAGAACAGATCCACAGGGCCTACACTTTATCAGCCTCCTACACTTCATAATCTGATTTTCTTGCATTTCCCAAAATACCTAGGAAATTTAGCATTCTGCTGTCAAAACCACTCTTAAAACATACCTGCAAGTAAATTCCTTTCCCTTCCTCCCTTCCTTCCCTGCTTCCTTCCTTCCTTCCTTCCCTGCTGATTTATAGGATTTATGATTCTTATTTTTGTAACTTTAATACTTATGAATGTTTTCTCTTTTTTCTATCTATGGCATCTCTCGGCCTACCTTACTGAAGAACAAATATTTATTTATATGAGAAAAGAATTTCGAAAGCAAAGGACTATATATATTTAACGTTTAACAAACTCAAACAAGTTAACTGTTTAGGATAGAATTCTGAAATTAGTGGTTTCCCTGCTTATGAATCATCATCTCAATATTACTCTTATGTCCACAAGATTCTACAGGGGAAGAAAGAGTAAATCCCATATATTCTTAGTTGAAACACATCCCTGTTACAAAAAACAGATTAACAGATTAACAAGAGAAGAACAAACAGAAGTTCATTAACATGCAGATTTCATATATAAATGGAACACACCCAGGAAATGAAAAATTCTCAAAGAGGTGAGTTTGAATTTGAGTTTATATAGCATCTTCAACAAAAACAGTACATTTTTAGAGAACTGACAAGACATAGAAAAAGGGCTTTGAGTCTCTAGAGGCTGCAACTTGTGGAAAGGCAAATAATTGGCAGATAAATGTTAGCAAAGCCTGTTAATATAGATTCCTCTGACCCTCTCCAGGCTGATAAAGCTCTAAAGTTGCCTTCAGTAATTAGCCTTTGTTCTCTGTGGTAGTAGGTGAGTGGGCACAGAATACCTTTTGTCTTTGTAAGTCTGTGTCCTGCTTTTAGGCAAATAGAGGGAGGGCAGAGAACTTTTCTGTCTCTGTTACTTTTTAATTGTCTTCAGCTCAACAACTCTTCATATTTTAGTGCAGCCTATTATGTGATCTCACAATTTTTATTTATATTTAACACCACTTAAGGAATGTGACTATAAAAATTCTAACATTATTTGTTGATGATGATTAAACTTATACTCTGGAATGACAACCTTAAAGAGTTTACAGTATAGGCCAAGCTTAAGGAGTTGACAATATAGCCAGTTAGAATGGCTATTACTAAAAAGACAAAAAGTAACAGATGCTGGCAAGGATGACAGATAAAAGGGAAATTTTAAACTGCTAGTGGGAATGTAAACTAATACAGTCACTATGGAAAACAGTATAGAGATTTCTCCAAAAATTACAAATAGAACTACCAGCCAATTCATCAATCCCACTACCGGATATTTATCTAAAGGAAAAGAAATCAGTATATCAAAGGGATAGCTTCCTCCTGCACCCATGTTTATTGCAGCAGTATTTACAATAGCAAAGATATGAAATCCACCTAAATGTCCATCAACAGATGAATGGATAAAGAAAACGTTATGTATCTACACAATGGAATACTATTTAGCCATAAAAAAGAGTGAAATCATGTCATTTGCAGCAACATGGGTGGAATTGGAAGTCATTATGCTAAATGAAATAAGCCAGGTATAGAAAGAAAAATATTGCATGTTCTCAATCATATGTGGGAGCCAAAGAGTTTGATCTCATGGAGGTAGAGAATAGAATGATAAGTACTGGAGGGTAGGTAGGGTGTGGGGGCCAGGAATGGAGACAGGATGGCTAATGGGTAAAAATATACAATTCGACAGAGGGAATAAGTTCTAATGTTTGATAGCAGTGTAGGATGACTATAGTTAACAAAAATGTATTGTCTATTTCAAAATAGCTAGAAGAGATGACTTGAAGTATCCCTAACACATAGAAACAATAAATACCTGAGGTGATAGATACGCTGAACACCCAGACCTGATCATTACACATTTTATGCATGTCACAAAATATCACATGTACATCGTAAGTATGCACAAATATTATATATGTATAAAAAACAAAATGAAAATTATTAAAATTTAAGCATGTGAAATATATAAAATAAATAAAATTAAAAGATATAAAATATAGGTCAGGCATAGTGGCTCACGCTTGTAATCCCAGCACTTTGGCAGGCCGAGGTGGGCAGATCACTTGAGGTCAGGAGTTCAAAACTAGCCTGGCCAACATGGTGAAACCCTATCTCTACTAAAAATATAAAAATTAGCCAGGTGTGGTGGCAGGCGCCCGTAATCCTAGCTACTCAGGAGGCTGAGGCAGGAGAATCACTTGAACCCGCCAGGTGGAGGTTGCAGTGAGGTGAGATCCCGCCACTGCACTCCAGCCTGGGGAACAGAGCAAGACTCTGTCTCAAAAATAAATAAATAAATAAATAAATAAATATATAAAATATATAAAACTATAAATTATTCAAATAGAGGCTTGGCATAATTTTCTAATAATAATAATATGAGAGAAAATTAGTCATGTTAACATTATTCTTAGTTGGTTGTGTGGATATCTGAAAGAATCCAATTTTTATACTGACCTATACTGAAACATAGAAATGGTACCTGACTGGCCAGGCGCAGTGGCTCATGCCTGTAATCCCAGCACTTTGGGAGGCCAAGGCAGGCAGATCTCGAGGTCAGGAGATCGAGACCATCCTGTCTAACATGGTGAAACCCTGTCTCTACTAAAAATACAAAAAAATTAGCTGGGCGTGGTGGCGGGCACCTGTAGTCCCAGCTACTTGGGAGACTGAGGCAGGTGAATGGCGTGAACCCGGGAGGCGGAGCTTGCAGTTAGCCTTCATCGTGCCACTGCACTCCAGCCTGGGCAATAGAGCAAGACTCCGTCGCAAAAAAAAAAAAAAAAAAAAAAAAAAAAAAGAAATGGTACCTGACTAAATAAATTATAGCAGTTTTGTCTTTCAAATTTTTCTTTCTAAATTGTACCTTAAGAAGTTTCACATATTTGATCCTCATATCAAAAGTAAAGAATTTTGAAGTTTGTAGATTGAGTTGAAATAATTTTTAAGAGAGGAATGGGGGATATTTCTAATAATGTTTAAAGAATAAAAAGTACTTTGTTTTCCTAATTTATTGCAAGGTGCATAACTGAGACTCCTATAACAAAAGAGATTGACAAGTAAAAAGCAAGACCCAAAGACCTGCAGAAAGTGTATTTTTCTTCTTTGATTTAATGAAAAGCAGACATTCATGTAGAAATATAATTGAACCAAAAAAGGGAGTAATTGTTACCTGAAGGTAATATACTGGGGAAACTGTTCAGATTCTTCTTGGCCTCCAGGTATAGTACAGGATTTCTCTGGAATGAGGATCTTACGACCTAGTTTCAGGCAAGGTAGGTCAGAGAATTTCTTTATGAGCATCCTTTGGGAAGAAATATGGGAAAAGGTCAGAGTGACCTTGCTGCTGTGGTTTTCTCAGCTGTCAAGATGCCGTATTTTGGTGTATAGTGTTCTGAGGCCAGACACCATCCACTACAATAGTGGCATGGAATAAGCCAATGTGAGCATTCCTGTAATCAACTGGGGAGCAAAGAGTGAGGAAGAAGAAGGTTTACCTTAAACCTGAAATTCAAGAAGGCAAGAGACTATTTGTAAATTTTAGAAACATAATTAGTGATTTAATGGTCTGTTCAAAATTGTAAATTCTTTTTTGAGACTGCGTCTCACTCTGTTCCCAGGCTGGATTGCAGTAGTGTGATCTCAGCTCACGGCAACCTCTGCCTCCCTAGTTCAAGGGATTCTCCTGCCTCAGCCTCCCAAGTAGCTGGGACTACAGGCACGTGCCACTATGCCCAGCTAATTTTTGTATTTTTAGTAGAAACAGGATTTCACCATGTTGGCCAGGATGGTCTCAATCTCTTGACCTTGTGATCCGCCCACCTCGGCCTCCCAAAGAGCTGGGATTACAGACGTGAGCCACCATGCCCGGCCCAAAATTTCAAATTCTAAAATATTTTTTAACTCAAACATCATTTTAAATATCCAGCTCATATGGAACAGAATCTTATAGCATCACTAAATTGTAATTTATTCCAATTAAGATTTTTCAGCCGAATTCAAAAATTAGAACAATAGTCAAGTACTTTGTCACTTATGGGTAAATACCTACTTTTTTCAGAACTTTCTTTGACGATCTTATCCCATTTCATTCTTTGGCATTGCTTATCTTCTGGCTGAAGTGCATCATCCATTTTATTCCCTAGCATTGTGATCTATCTTCACTTTACTCATTGCTACAAGACTGATTGGAAGATTCCTTTTAGAATATATGCCCACACTAGGATAAAAAATAACACTGTAGTCACCTTTGGTTCTTTACACTTCCTCCTCTAAAACTTCCCTAGCTCAAAATTCCAGTGCTCTCAGACTTAGGAGTTCAATAATTTTGAGTTCCCAAGGATTTTTGGTGTTTTTTGTTTGTGTTACCAAACCAGGCTCATTTATCCAATGTGTAGCAAGGCAATCACTGAGACATCAAGATTTGCAGCAAAGCAAGGATTTATTTATGAGGCACCCAAGTGAGGAGATGGGAAAGCAATTCTCAAATCCACCTCATTTATGGGTCATAAGCAGGAGTATTTTAGGGACTGGACTGAGGGGTTGGGGATTGGGTTATGAGGAGCCATCTGTTGATTGGCTGGGATGGAAGAAACTCCAGGGACCATGGATTAGGTACCAGAGTGCAACTATCTGGGTCACCTTTCACTTCAGAAACAGATCCACAAGAACATGGTCCTAGTCATTGAGGGTCTTTTGCTTTTGTTTTTGTTTTTGCTTTTATTTGGTTCCAGGGGTGGAGTTTTGACTTCTTTTTAACATCAAAAAGTCAACCATTAGACACTAATGCAAACTTACTTGAAGGCTTGGTGGTCTCAACTGGTTTGAGCTAGGTTCAAGGCTGAGTCTTCATTTCCTGACAAACAACTTAGACAACATCTTTTGATCCATCATAGTGAGATGTTATCTATAGGAACATTGCAGAAACTATCGTGAGGCTATGTGACATTTACAAATAAGCAGCACAGCTATCAATGGTTAAACAAACAGCTAAAGGTTACAGTTAATAACTGCCTAGAGAAATGTCAATTACTCACTTCCTAATCATTAATGGCTATCTGGGCACTGGTTTCATTTGTCTTAAATTAGAGATTCATGAGTCTGTCAGGTTACACACTGGCCCATCAGTCCAGGCACTTCACTCAACATTGCCTCTTGCTTCTCTACTCTTTACCTCCCATGTAAAATCACATCAAGCTATGCATGGATAGTCCCAAATAAAAAAGGCACATGTAACACCATTCTCTCTTATTCTGACTCCACATCAAGTTAACTAGGTTGTAATATCTTAGTCTTCTACTCAAGTCCTAGGTAGAGAAAATGAGGCACTATACCCTCTATGTATTTCCCTTTTGGAATCTCTTTATGTTCTACTTAAAGGATATCAGTAATTTTGAATTTAGTGGTATGCAATTATAATAATAAATAGTTTGGTATATATTGACCTAAAAACCTGCATCCTTATTTTGAAAAGAAAAGACAATATACACAAGAATTGACTATGGATCAAATGGCTATTATTTAATAAAAATTCTTACATAGAGATATTTTGAAATCTTTTTTGTTGCACAGGTATGCCATATTTCAATTTTAAATGAATTGCTAGATCCTGATTTTAAAAGATAACTATGTTCTGAGTCATGCCAAATCCCTTTCACAAATTTTCAAACAGAATTTAAAATGAAAAGAGAATCATTAAAAATACATGGATGTGATAAGAAGGAACTTGGGACAAGACCATTAGTGTCTGTTCAGTTCCTTAGGAAAGAAGATGAAAGATAACTATAATGTCAAGATACATCATGTTTACCCTAAAAATATGGAGCAGGCTATTCATGTGAAATATATTCCATTAATTTTAGGAAACCTTGAGAAACAAAATTATTTAAGGTAATGACTACATGAATTTTCATGAATAGGAGTCTAGTTGAAATTTATCATCATATCTTTGTTAATGATTATTTTTACAAGAAAAAATCCAAATGATTGCACAAGCAGTACAGTCCTAACTTGCACAAAAAATGACTAAATCAAGAACGTAATCCCAGACTGGAAAGTTTATATATGTTACTTTACTTAAACACTGAAATTACACTAAATGTAATTTCCTGATTCTAGTATTCATGAAATTTTATTTTAAATGTATATATTTTGATATTGAAATAATGTAACTTTAACAAAAGAAGCTAATCTATATGAAACATTATAAAGTATGACAAGGATTAAATATATGTTTATTAAATAT
Organism: Homo sapiens; assembly: GCF_000001405.40. NCBI lineage: Eukaryota > Metazoa > Chordata > Mammalia > Primates > Hominidae > Homo > Homo sapiens. The sequence continues at coordinate 81,387,381 of NC_000013.11, read as the reverse complement.
GATTGATTTTTAGGTAACTGAATGAAATTTGAATATTGTGCACTTAAATTATTAATCTTTTGCAAGATTATTATTGACTATAATGTTTTTAAATTAAATCTTTAAATAAATATTTTAAAATGTCAGTTGAGTTTGAGAATCTTTCTCAGCTCTTTTGCGTTCCATGCTTATATGGCATTCCCAAATGCTGCTAATATTAAATGTCTTATTATTCTTCAACTTATTGTTAGCTATATACTTGGTTTATTTATCATCTACCAACAGATTATAAAACTCTAAAATTCTATACCTATAATAGGTTCCAAACGAAGGTGAAATGATTATGTGGTCTTAATAACATTAATCAAAATGTCATTTTTAACAATTTAGGGTGAAACAAATGGCCGGTATTATGATGCATTAATAACAAATTTCCTAAAGAAGGGATTTATGTCCAATATAACAGAGCAAAAGTAACATAATTTTTTTTCCTCTATGAGTAAGTGCAGGGTTGACTTAGGTATTAATACATGTAAACATTATAATCACTGAGCTAGAATTCTCCTGACGGAGGCCTCATTTGTCCCTTTCTCAATTGATTGTCACCTTAACGTCCATTTTTAGGCAATCAAGGTAAGCTGTAATTTAGACTGAGGTCAAGAAACACTAAAATGAAATGGTAATATGTGACACAGATATTAAAATACTGGGTAAAGTCTTTTGTATTGTTTTTCTTTTCTAGTAGTAAATAAGATGGAAAGCATTTCCAAACAAAGAAAGCTATAACTCATACAAAAATTGGAAGCTAAGGCCAGTTATGGAGGCTCACACCAATAATCCAGTGCTTTGGGAGGCCAAGATGAGAGGATTGCTTCAGGTCAGGAGTTTGAGATCAGACTGGGCAACCTGGTGAGACCCCGTCTCTACAACAACAATAGAAACAACATTAGCTGGGTGTGGTGCAGTGCACCTGTAATCTTAGTTCTTCAGGTGGCTGAGCAGGAGGATCATATGAGCCCAGGAGTTCGAGGCTACAGTAAGATATGATCAGGCCATTGTTGCACAGAAAGCTAGAGATTTTGAGCTGCAGAGTACTTGCTGAGTTAGCTTGGAACTAAATTGAGAAGGGTATTGGCAGGCCTGCTAATAATTTTGGATTTTTGCTACAGAGAGTGAAGTTCCACAATAGAGTCCTAAGAAGAGAATTAACATTAATATATTTGATTGTTTCCCCCAAAAGTAATGGATGGACAGAGTAGAGAACAGACTGCTAGGGGGGAAAAAAGCCAGCTGTAATGAGATAATGAAGGTATAATTAAGGTAAATAACTGCAGATGGAAAAGCAGATTCTTTAGATATTTCTGTTTAATTTTTCTCCCAAGAAGGGTAAATGTTTTGTTTACAATATCTTTTCAAATGATCAGACATTGAATAATTTTCTATATTTGGGTATTTTAAAATCTTCAGTAAAATATGCTTTAATTATTTCATAGCTCAGTGTAACAGTGGTATCTAATTTATTTTGAATGAATTTATTTTTAACCTACAACTTGTTGGTTAACATAGGTAGAGTTCCTTCTATAAAAAAAAAAGAAGAAGAAGGAGAAGGAGGAGAAAAACAGAAAAAATGAAAGAAAAATGCCTTCTAATTAGCCTCTGAGGTAACTTCAGATTGCATATAACTTTTTAAAGGAAAATTATACTGCCATGTTTTCACCTCCTTTTTAATGATTCAAAAAAAACCCCAAAAATAGCTACTTAACATACAAGAAAGTGCTATAGAAATTAAAATGAATTACATAGAATGTACAAAAAATAAATTCATTCAAAATAAATTATAAATGAAGCAAAAAAAATTTATGGGACAAAGAAAACACATAATAAGATCATAGGTTGAAATAAAAATATATCAGAAATCATGTTGTATATAAACACACAAAAATCCAATTAAATATCTATATTTATTCTAAAATAAAATGAAGAAAATGCACTATATTCAGTTCAGAAGAAACTCTCCTTAAATATAAATCTCCAGGAAGTAACTTCATTAAAAAATATAGACCATGCCCACACTTCAAAAAAGAAAGTTAATGTAGCAATTTAATAACAGATATAGTAGAGATTTTAATTCAACAGGAAAACTATATAAAAAGGACATTTCCTTTTGTTAAAAGAGCAAATCCATTTTTAAAAAATGTAAAGAGAATGTTTGCAAGCATGTTTAACTAGCTTCAATTAAAAGACCAGAATAGAAATTCTCAAACAGTGGAAAAATTAAACTTATGTTTCATTAAATCAAATTTTAACTGGGGGGCCATTGGACTGGGACATCTGTAGCGCTGTAGTTTCTTCATAAGCAAACTAAAGCTCAATGTAAATCATAAAACAGATTTAGACATTTTACCAATCAGAAACCATCTACCCACCTTTCACATCAACTAACCTCTAACTGGGAATTTCCACTGTAACAAATCAGATATATTTTCTTTGTCTTCCTTCCACATCAGCCTATGAAAGCTAGCTACCCATGTGCTGCAGCAGAACTCTCAGAACCTCTTCTGTTTCTGAGTCCTGCCCAATTCATAACACTCTTTTTTTTTTCTCTCAAATAAACTCTGACAATTTATTATATCTAAAGCTTTTCTTTTGACAGTTATGATGGGAGAGGTGATCATCTGAAGTAGACCTTCAGTGATGACTAGGAGCAATGAGAAAATAGGTGTAGGTACCCCTCTGAGCCTCTTGCACTGAACATTGGGAGGTCACCATTAATAGGTCCCTCTTAAATAAGAGCTCCATAATGTATGTTGAGTTCTCTGAGTTTATTTGAGCATTTTTATCTCAACTGGGTTCAGAAGTCATGGCAGAAACTAGATTGGTTCCAACAGAGAGGTCTCAGGTATTAGCATGGGTCAGACAAAAACTGGACTGGGTTCAGTAGGAAGGTCCACTCTAGGTAAAGTTACAAAAAGAAAGGGAGTAATGAGTTCATCTGAATCCAAGACGTCTGGGACTTCTACATCTCAGAACCTATCCTTTTCTAAAGAAATGCATAAACCATACCACAAATAATTTAGAATTTTGGTGGCTGCAATGGGGAGATTTTAACCTAAACAAAAATTGCTCATCTATGGGGCATATTGAAAAGAAAAAGGGATTTTGAGAGCCTCAAAAACAACGGGATGTATTTTTTATTGGCATGCAGAGGCTGCTAAAAGACTAAATGAGTCAAAATTTCATCTCCAAAAGACTCCTCAGAAAAGGCAAATGAAAATCTTAAGTAACTAGTGAGAAAAAATTATATGTTGACTAACTTAATTCCAACTGCACCTTCTTTCTTTCCCTCTATCCTCCTCCGTCTAATTACTCTGAATCTGCTAGCCTTTTCACTAAGTTATGTCAGCTGAAGAATGACAAGGTTTATAAACCTGGAAAGAAGAGCTTTATTTCTCATAAAGGGTGGAAGCCTGCAGGGTGGCCATTCTGACAAGCTGGGAGGCATAGTCTCCAGCCAGAAACTAGAAACGGACACTTGGAGGACTGTAAGAAAAATACCAGGATTTATGCAGAAAGGAGTGGCAAAATATACATATTCAAAAAGCTATGAAGGAATCATAAATAATTGTGAAAGGAGACGCATGCATATACAATTAAACTTCATAACTCTCCATGGGACCCAGGTTCAACAGTGAAGTTTTCGGCCTTCTGACATCAAAAGGTGAAGCAGAGGCCATGAAAACTCACTGCAACATCCTGTGTAGCCTGGAGGGAATACCGGTCGGTTGCTTATTCCAAATTGCAAAAGGGAGGGTCAACTTCCAGTAGCTGGTTGAGAGAGTCTTTCTAAAGGGCTAGTTTCTGTTTAGCTCTTAGAGAAGAAAGCCTAATAACGGCAGTTAACAAGGATGTAGGTATAATGAGATGTGTCCCATCTTGTATCCTGTCATGGACAGCAACTCAGTTTACAAGGCTTCTTAGGGGTCTTCTTGACCAAAAGGGGAGCATTCAGTCAGTTTGAAGAGCTTAGGATTTCATTTTAATTTTTCAGTTATCTTCCCACTCCAAGGTAACTCCAGTTATCTTCCAAGTCTAGAAAACTAGATAAACCCCTTATAAAGTTAGTCCCTGACATCAACAGGTTCTGCTCCTTTAACCACCTTTATTCCATGAACAAAACTTAGAGCTCAAAGCAATAGTGAAAGTTTTGTCTGTCCCAGGAGAAAACCCCCAGAAACTTGTCAATGGATTTAGACTTTTCATGGAAGCACATAACCCAGGACACCTTGATCTTTCCAAATTTATTCATGATACTGGAACTTGGTGAAGGCCATGAATGGATGGCTGAAGCCACGTGGAAGATACCTGAGAAAGATATCAAAAATTCAAATACTGAGTCTTTCAGTAATGGACTGAAAAAAAAAAAAAAAAACTAGGAAAATAGCAAGCCATAGCTTAGAAATCTATCCCTTGCCAAAATATTTCCTTCAAAATATAACCTGACTAGGCTGGTATTCAATCTTTTAAACAGAAAAAGAATGAACCAGTTTACGACTTTAACGCAAGATTAGAAGTACTATTTGTAAAACATCCTGTTGTATCTATGCTGAGTTCAGGCACTTAAATGTTTTATCTGCACTTTCTGTTAATGAGCTCCACCCCACATTCAGTAATGTAGTTTTAAAAAGTAAATAAATAAACGACGGGAAAGCCTCTAATGTAGCCAAGTTAGTTGCCAAATATGCCTTTCTAGCATATAGACTATTTTTAGCTGGTTGTTTTGGGATACTTTAGTAAGAAAAAATAGTTCTAAGCTTGTCCATGCCTTATTAAATGGTATGCAACCAACTGGAAGTGGTGAAGGATAGTAAGTTGTCTTTGAAATCCAAGCATGCTTCCTATTGTCATGCTGACATTTGAGTGTGATTCCTCAATTTCTTTTGAAATCCCCTGGTAAGTCTATGCTGTATTCAGTAACAGCACACCCCAGCATGTGCCAATAACTTTTGTGGCCACTCTTTTGTAGCACTGGTAGGGAGCAGTAGCAAGGAGCAGCCAGGTTGTATTATTTGTACTTACCCACTACTTAACAACACATTAAGCATGCAGTGATTTTGAACTATTGAACGAGACAATACAGAGTTCCAAGAGAGAAATACTTGGCTCCTCATCAGTCAAAGATTGATCAATTTTTTTTGTTTATGAGGAAAATTAAATGAGATTTGATGACATTCACTCTTAATTTCAGCATTCATGGTTTTGCTGTTTGTTTTTATGTTCATTTTGCCAAATTATTCCATAACAAATTGTCAGTCTTTAAACTCTGTGTTTGGAAGCACTGTAGGCTGCCTCAGTTCGATATATCTTAATATTAAAAGGTAAATAGTTGTCTCATAATATTACATATCACATTGTCAAGTTTTAAAGAAAAATAAACATTATTTTCATTGATAATTTATAATTAGCTCTATAGGTTGTTAAGAAAGTGAGGCTGATATGAAATCATGAGAAAAATATTGTTCTATATAGATCTAACAATCAGTAGTGAATTTCCAAAATATTAATTGCTACATTATGTCAAGGGTCATTCTAGGATGAAATATTTCACAGCACTTTGAAAGCATATGACTCATCATAGCTAACAATAGTATAAACTTGTCAGACTTAAAGATCAGTGTACAACGGTGTGAGTTTATTATTTTTAGTTTTATTTTCTATTACTAAGTACAGTTTTTAATCAGTTTCTCTTTAGAGTAATATATTATTTTATTATATTCAAATAATATTTTACTTATTAAAAATTAATAAAAGAAAAACAGTGATGAAAATATAGTTTTCAAAAGCAAAATTATCAAACTGAAAACAATGAAATATAAAATTTGCAAAGTATGCAAAAGTTTTCTTGGTTGTACATGAATCAGACCTGATGATAACGAGCAATTTTAACTAAATGTATTAGGTTTTGAATTATTATCAAAAGCGTTTTTTAAACTAGGTAACATATTTTAAACATCCATTCAATTAAATAAGAATTATAAAACCCAACTGGCAGAAACATCTCCAGCTTTACTAGTTGTTGTAAACTCTAGAAAAATCAAGTTTTCTCTGAAGATTAAAATATTTGCATACATAGTTATCTGAAGGATGTTAGGAAAAAAGTCCATAGTAAACTTTTTGTTATAATTAATTTGATTAGTATTAATTATAAATATTATAGACTAAAACACAGCAGTACTGAGAGAGGTGATCACCCCCTTCCACATGGCTGCTGTGACACTCTGCACTGCCGGTTCACCTGCTCCCTCACTAGGCACTCCTTCTCAGTTAATTTTATTACTTTTTTAAAAACTCACTGCCTCTGAATATTTCAGCGACTCAGGACTGTACTTTTAGGACTTCACTATTCTCTATATGATCTCTTGCAGTTCCATGCTCTGAGCACTCTTAATGTGCTAATTGAGTGTGATTGACTACCACAGTTACACTGGTTCTCACCAAATCTTGTATTTATTCACTGCTCACATGCCAACAATTAAACATCAATTAGTTTACAGTCAAACTTTTTATTATTCTTCATAAGCCCTTTCCATCTCTTTCATTGTATATCTTACTAAGAACTTTAACCCGCAATTCACATCATTGTTCCATGGTGCTTGGAGTAACACTTAACTCATTCTCTCTCTCTCTCTCTCTCTCCCCCCCCACCCCACCCTGTCACACACACACACACACACACACACACACACACACACACTTCATTTCATCATTTATTTATTTATTTATTTATTTATTTTAATTTTTTAATTAATCAATTTATTTATTTTTTTATTATACTTTTAAGTTCTAGGGTACGTGTGCACAACGTGCAGGTTTGTTACATATGTATACATGTGCCATGTTGGTGTGCTGCACCCATTAACTCATCATTTACATTAGGCATATCTCCTAATGCTATCCCTCCCCGCTCCACCCACCCCACAACACGACCTGGTCTGCGATGTTCCTCATCCTGTGTCCAAGTGTTTTCATTGTTCAATTCCCACCTATGAGACAGAACATGCGGTGTTTGTTTTTCTGTCCTTGCCATAGTTTGCTCAGAATGATGGTTTCCAGCTTCATCCATATCCCTACAAAGGACATGAACTCATCCTTTATTATGGCTGCATAGTATTCCATGGTGTATATGTGCCACATTTTCTTAATCCAGTCTATCACTGATGGACATTTGGGTTGGTTCCAAGTCTTTGCTATTGTGAATAGTGTCACAATAAACATATGTGTGCATGTGTCTTTATAGCAGCATGATTTATAATCCTGTGGGTGTATACCCAGTAATGGGATGGCTGGGTCAAATGGTATTTCTAGTTCTAGATCCTTGAGGAATTGCCACACTGTCTTCCAGAATGGTTGAACTAGTTTACAGTCCCACCAACAGAGTAAAAGTGTTCCTATTTCTCTACATCCTCTCCAGCACCTGTTGTTTCCTGACTTTTTAATGATTGCCATTCTAACTGGTGTGAGATGGTATCTCATTGTGGTTTTGATTTGCATGTCTCTGATGGCCAATGCATTTCATCACTTATTGACAAGCTAAAAAATAATCTCTTGTGTTCCTACAGGATTTGCCTCTAGGGCCCTATCTATTGTCATTTTCTATCCTATTTTCTTCACTTATTCCCTTTCAGTGTAGCCTACATCTTTGTTTTTCTTCCAATTTACCAAATGAACATTCAATTTAGAGACTTTCTGCTTGCTGTTTTCCAAGCAAGTAGTTGGAAATATCTGGAAAGTGGTTTTCTCAGATATTTTATAATAAAACGTTTCACATTATAGTGAACAATATTCTGAATATTGTGAAATAGTGAGACTATATTCTAAAGCACTTATCTCTCTCTGGTGTTTTATTGTGCATTTGTTTGTCTGTTAGTTTTGCTTCTCTCTCTCCTATTTAAAATGTCAGCTTTCAAGAAAAGAAATTGTGTTGTATTTACTGCAGTATACTCAATAGCCAGTAGAGTGTCTTGTGCACTTGGATGCTCCATTAATGTGTACTGAATGAAGGAATGAATGAATTACTTCATTCAGTACACACAGAGAGACATTGGCATAATATGAAAAAAATTAACTTATAAATGTATAAAAGTGAATAGTATCTAATGTAATTGGATATTAACATATAATAAAGAAGAAATTTTTATTCATTCTGTATTAATAAACTGAAACTTCTGTAGTTTGCATTTAATCAGGTCTGTAGCCAATTATTCACTGTTTTCTTGCATATCTCTTTTGCTTGCTGTTTTGCAAAACTTTTTTATATATGAAGGAAATAGATTTTCATTAGTCACATGTATTGTGAATGTATTTTTAGTTTGTCTTTTACATTTTAATGTTATATGTTTGGTTTTTTTTTTCTATTTGTAAAAATATAATTGAGTCAAATGTATCACTTTTTTTTCTTTAATGGCTTATGGGTTTTATGACTAATTTGGAAAGGCTCTCCCCTCCTCAAAATTATTATTGTTTAATGCTCATAATTTTTCTTCCAGAAAGTTTTTGATTGGTTATGTTAAAGCTTGTATCCATTTGGATCTATTTTATTTTACTTTACTTTTTACTTTTTAATTTTTATGTGTACATAGGAGGTATATATATTTATGGGGATGTGGGTCTATTCTAAATGTAAGTAATAAAGTGGGGATCTACATTTTTTCCAGTTATTGATATACTTTTCCCCATAAAGTTTTCTGGTAATTCTTTATTTTTACATTTATATTTTGTGTTTGAATTTTGAAACTTGAAGACACTTTAATTAATACTTTTCTATTGTACTAGAAATGAGAATGGTAACATTAAATCAAATTGAAGTAAGAAAGGATAGCATTTGAGATGTGCTGCAGTATTTTGTTGTTGCATTTTGGAAGGCAAAAAAGGAAAAAATTATAAAATATTACACCAATGTGCTTTAAGCTTATAAAATTAGCCAAGCATTTAGTATTTATAGCTAAAATTGGGAAAAGACATATTGTTATACCTTTATGGGCAGAATTTATTGCATCGTGTTGTCTGCTAATTTGGAACTGTGAAATATAGAGTGAGAATATTTAATATTAATATAAAAATTACTTATGGCTCTATATTGGGTATATGGATTCCAAATCTATGACCAAAATGTCAAGTAATTGACTCCCTTATTTCTTAACTTTCTCCATTTGTCTCTTCCCTCCATAAGCATTCACTGTGGCCTGTTTAGTAGATTCAAATTTTATGTCAGTTATAAAAGTGTGACTCATGCTACTGGAGGATGTGAAAGAATCACTCAACTCTGCAGCCTGGATTGCAAATAAGATCACTGAAAAATGCATACCCCATTGGCCTTATTTCACACAATTTTCCTGTTTTATATTAGAATGTGTTAGAGAGAAAAGGAAGGCAGAAGCTAAGGAGATATTGGGATAGAAGCAAGAGATGAAATGTCCGGTGAAAGAAGTTACTTATTATCAAAAAAGACTGTGATGTTCTGACAGTAATACAGAAGAAGATGCTGGAATATGTATATGAAAATATTTATAGTTTTACAAATTTCATGCTGAAATGTCTCCATCTCTTTTTGATAGGGATACAGATTTTTGTCACCTCTTCTTCATAAAATTATATAAATATAAATATATATATAGACTCACACACACACACATATAGTTTACCTTCCAACAGCACAGGTTGGAGCTGAATGGGTCTATTAATATGTCAGTTTCTAAAAATAAATATATTGGAAAAAATTTTTAGAGATTTGTGACAATTTGAAAAAAACTCACAGATGAGCCACGTAGTCTAGAATTAATGAAAATTTAAGAAAAAGCTAGGTATGTTATGAACTTATAAAACATATGCAGATACTACTCTATTTCATCATTTACTAACATAAAATATCACAAATCTACTATACAAAGTTAAAATTAATTAAAACTTATACTTAGTTAACACTAAAAATATTAATCAAAACTTACTAAACACTTATAGATCCTACATGGTGTCATTCACAGTCCAGAGAAATGTAAATGAATATAAAGATGGATTATTAGATCATAACTGTGCAAAATTAACTAAGTAAATACTCTTCTGTAATAATTTCAAAGCTACCACCCATTGCTATTGCAGTGAGTTCAAGTTTTTTGACTATTCACTTAAAACGCCTTATGCCACTAATCTTCTTCATATGAGCAGCTCATCTCTCCAGTAAATTGTATATTGCTGTAAAAAAAAAAATCTCTCCTATTTCTGGTATATTTTTCATCCTGTTCATTACAATACCGTATACCTTGAATAACACCATGAAACCCTTACAAAGTACTACTAGTGATGCTGGAAGTGCTCCCAAAAAGCAGAGAAAAGTCGTGACATTACAAGAAAAGTTGAATTGCTTGGTTTGTACCATAGACTGATGTTTGCAGCGTGTGGTTGCCTGTCATTTCAAACAGTCTCATAAAGAGATAATGTAAACTTACGGTATCAACAAATACAGTGCAGTACTGTAAATGTATTATCTCTTTCTTATGTTTTTCTTAATAACATTTTCTTTTCTATAGTTTACTTAATTGTAAGAATACAATGTATAATACATATAATGTACAAAATACTGTTGAATGTTTATGTTATCCATAAGGTTTCAAGTCAACAGTAAGCCATTAGTAGCTAAGTTTAAAGAAGTCAAAAATTATACGCAGATTTTCAAATACACAGGGCGTTGGCTTCCCTAACTCCCAAGCTGTTCAATGATCAACTGTGTGCGTATGTATATATCTCTGTGTGTGTGTGTGTGTGTGTGTGTATTTATGTGTGCATTTTACCAAAATCAGTGTATAGTTGTTTTTTATGAAGATGTATTTACTCAGACATTATTCCAGTGTGGAGCAATGACTTTATGTGTGTTAGAGATGTTGCCTAGAAAATATTCTAATCTAATTTCACTGAAAATAATAATAATAATAGTCAATTGTTCATGAGTAGCCAGTTTTGTAAGTCTATTTCCTGGACTGATGTCTTGATTTCTCCCACAGTATTAGTATGTAAGGAGAAGTATTTTTCTTGGCTTTTTCAAAAATCCACCTTTTTATTTTGAAGTAGATCAACAATGCCAGCATGAGGCTTCTATTTCTAAGAAAGTTTTCTTTGTGGCTGTATTCAGTATCTACACTCCAGCTCTCAGATCATGTCAGAAGATCAAGCCAACTTCGAAATGTTAATCAATGTGCAATAAAGTAATGTGCACATGAATGACTGAATTCATTTTAAAACTTTTACAATAACATAAGAATTATTAATAAACCATGAACACTGGTAGTATTTTGAGATCTAGGGAAACAGAAAAAAGGAGGGAGAGCAGGTGACAGTAATGAAAAACTATACAAAAGAACATGAATGGTTTATATCTTGGTTTCAGTATTTTCACAAGGGACTATCATTTTTTAAAATGTCAACCAGAAAAGTAAATGTCCACCTTGCTTGCTTACTCAGTGTCAGAAAACTCACCATTAATCTAATAAACAGCATTTCCCCAAGCTAGAAAACTTATTTAAAATCTTTCCAAGGCAAATATCCTTTCATAAGCGTAAATCATTTTCTTTTGAACTCTATCTGAACTCAAATTACCATAAAAATATTGAGATAAGCACTATTCTAACTGCCATGCATGAAGCACCTTATCTAGATATTTTAACTGAATCTTCATTTTATACATAGAAGATTTGCACCTTAAAAACATTTATAGTAATTTTAATCAACAACCAAAATACAAGAGTTCTTTCACCTGGTTTTAGGGTTGTGGTCACAGTTAGTCTGTTGATTTCCTTTCTTTTTTCCCCCCATAAACATGTAAACAGCTTGAATTTTTTTAATGTTTTTTCAAATTTTGTTCTCAATATTATATTCCTTAAATTTATCAATTTTATTCATTTTGGATAAAATGTAATAACTAATTATTACTTTTTATTTTAGGCAAACTTTGTAACAGATTTCAGCATGTACATAAAAATAATAAAAATAACATAGTTCAAGTTTCTGATACATTATAATTAAGATTACAAACAACTTAGGGACTATCTCTATTCCAACTTTATACAGCACCAATTTTTGTAAAATTTCAATAATGTAAAAATTGTATTTCTTGGTTATTTTAGAAATTATATTAATGTATAATACGTAAAAATAAATGGATTTATACCACACATGCACAGAGGTGTGCACACAGACATACATACCTACCCCCACATATATGAATGTCTGACCTAAAGTGACATTGATTACTGTTATGACAATAAAAAAAATTTATTTATAACCTATTTGAAAGCATGCATATATCTTTTAAATAATGTACATGAATATGTACCAAAACGTGCATCTAATAGATAAAAATAGGTTATCATTACAGATCCACAACTGTATTCAATGCAATATCAATATTACTTTGTTTACTTGAGGTTATTTTATTTTTAATACTCTCAGATGAATAAAACATATTCATGAATACGATACCAGAACTGGTTTAATTGAGGAAGCATCATCTATTAAATCACTGTGTCTCTGAAACTGGACTGAACAGTAATGGCTACCATAAGTGGGCTCATTCACATTTCTTTTGGGGATATAGTAATAGCACTTAAAGAAATTTGGCTTAGCTGCTTAGTCTTCATCTGTTTAGCCGGATATTTTAACTGGATATTCCATCATCAATTCTCAAATCAAAATAAGCCAGACATAGCTGTTTGTGAAATTCATCTTTCTTTTCATTCTCAGGTATCAGATAGTCATCTTGGATAAAATTTTAGATTGATCTATAACAGAATTCTTCTCAGTAAAAATGAGCTTATGTTCTCAAAGCCATGGTGCCTAGCACTTAATAAGAACTTAATTAAGGAAAGAAATTGATATGGCCAGAACCTTTGTATTATGATACATATGTTTATAAACTGTAAGATTTATAGTTTCTTTTGATATTTAATAATAATGCTTATTATATTACAGATGATTAAAACACATATCTAAAAATCTAAGGGTAGATATATAATATTCTCTTTTATTGGGGATGAGAAATATTGACATTAAAATAGTACCCTAAAATCATAATTTTTATTGCAGGTATGCTTACAAGATTTATACCTTAGTACATCTCCATTTCTCTCCTCTGTTACATATATGTGTTTATATAGCCACAGCATACACATCTTTGTTTTTGCAAAATAGAATTAATCTAGACAGTAGTCTGAAATTCATTTGCTTCACTGGACAATATATACTTCATATTAATACTTGAATGCCTCTTTATTAAAAAATACACTAGAAATACACTAGATAACAACATGCATCCCTAAACACACATATAGTCTGTATATGTGCTTGTGTTTGTATACACAACACACACATAAAAGTTTAGGTAAATGGGATTAAACTATGAAACTATGCACTGTATATTTTAAAGCAAACATTTCTCTCCTCATATTAATCTGTCTCCTTTTCCTCTTTTTTTGACTCACCATTTATTCACCATTGCCACCTACTCCATCCCCTATAGGTATGGTGTTTATCCTCCCATGCTCTATACACGTTACAGCTGATTCCAGATGAGAAGCTGAGATCAACATTTATCATATAATTTCTAGATGAGAAACTGCCAATGCGATGCCCCGGCATCATATTTGGAAGATTGAAGAAAAGCTCTTAGGGGCCATTTATTCTTTTGCTGCAGGTGTAGAAGGGACTGTGGAAAGACATAAACTGCACAGCTGCTTTTTCCTGAGCTTTTGTGGACCACTACCTTCATGATTCAGGTTGAAAAAGTCATCAAGCGGCAGCTTCTCTGATTGTGGAAGCCCCTTACTGCCTATATCATAAACACTTCATACATACAATTCACAGATGGTCTTATGTTTTCATCACACACACACACAACACACACACATACACACAGATTTCATCAGTGTTAGCTTTACAGCAATATTATCAACATGGGGTTAGACACTTCTCATCTTGTTTTTGTCACTCATTCCTACCTTACAAAACCCCAACGAATCAAATTAGACCTTGAATGTAAGAGCTACAGTTCATAAAGTGGTTGTACCTCGGTAGAGTCACTCATTCATTTTTTTCCATTGACTTATTTTTTACCATTATAAAAAATGCATATGAAATATCATTGAATATATATACTTACATCCTAGTCTTTGGGTTTTTATGAATGACTATTAATGGATTTGTGCTATATAAATATATGTGTACTTTTAAAATTAGTTTTAAGAGATGCTGCCAAATTACTTTTGCAAAAGTACAACAATTTAAGAGTCCTCCATCAATAGTAAGAGTGTCCATGATCCTGCATTCCGAAAGTCACTGATAGTCATATTTTTCTATCTTAACTTTTCCTGCCCTTTCGGATGTGACCGATGCCTCATTGTTATTTTATTTCTATGAGTATTTTGTGACCTTGAATACCTTTTGTGACCTTGGACAACTTTTACATTAGAAATTTGAATTTGATGTTCAATGAATTTTCTATATATTTTTCTTTTGGAGTTTTTTGTTAGTCAATATTTAAAAATTTTTCATATAATTTAGATATTAGTCATACATCTGTCACATTATATTTTAACTAAAAGATTTGGTTATTGATTTTTATATAAGCTTCTTCTTTAGAAAACTATATATGTAAATAAAATTGTATATATCATATACAATATGTATATATACACATGTATACTGCATATGTACATATGTATACTATATATGTACACAAACACAAAAACACATGTTTATATTAATTTTTTTTTCCTCTTTACTTCTGATTGTCATGGTTAAGAAGATATTCATCATCTTAGGGTTAGATATCATTTAAGCTTCCTGGAGTTTAATTTTATTACTGTTTGTGCCTGCTAAATATGTCTTTTGAAAAGTGTAAATATGAAATTATCACTGCAATAATATTGAAATAATACATGGTCTAAAGGCTAGATTTGTTAAATACTGCTCCTGAAGTGACTTCACAGACATCCACAGATCTCAGCTGTATTAGATGCTGAATTAGATGGTATGCTATTGCTTCTTATTACAAAATATAAGCATTGCTAATCTCTACAGAAGAACATGCAATTCATTTGAATAAAAATACCTGAAAATATGCTAGTACAAGTGAGATTGTGGCAAATTTCATGGGTAAAAGCAGTGTAGAGGAGAGAAATGTATTCATTTTCGCACTGGGCAGATTAGGAAAGATTTATATCTGAGATTTTACGTAAAAATGGAATTAAATTATCCTTACAAAAGATGCCAGAGGAATAAGAAGAGTACAGTGTGGATTTAGAGGATGGAAAACTGTAAATGGGGATTTCCAAAAACTAAACAAAAAAAAAAACTCAACTTTTAAGATTTCCTAAAAGCATATATATTTCATAGATATGTTAAAAAATTTCTCTTACTTTCTTCTTCTCCCTGAAAATAGTATTTCATACTAAAATGGTTAGGTTTTCCAGTTATAAAATTGATATCACTAATAATCTTAATTTCAGGTGCTTTTGAAAATATTTGCTTTTACACACAATTCTGTACATAAATCTACTAAAATATCACTTAGACAAATAATTTTTAGTCAATATTTAAAAATTTTTCATATAATTTAGATATTAGTCATACATCTGTCACATATTTTAACTAAAAGATTTGGTTATTGATTTTCATATAAGCTTCTTCTTTAGAAAACTATATATGTAAATAAAATTGTACATAATATATACAATATGTATATGTACATATGTATACTATATATGTACGCAAACACAAAAACACATGTTTATATTAAATTTTTTTTTCCTCTTTACTTCTGATTGTCATGGTTAAGAAGATATTCATCATTTAAGCTTCCTGGAGTTTAATTTTATTACTGTTTGTGCCTGCTAAATATGTCTCTCTCTCTCTCTCTCTTTCTCTTTCTCTCTCTCTCCACACACACATGCATATATATCCTACTGTTTTTATTTCCCCATTGGAACCTTGCCTGATACAGATGTTGATACCAAGAATTGTTCCAGAGGAATAGAATCTTACACGATTTTTCTGAATTGGTTCTATGTTTTCTGGATTTGTTCTCTAGTGTGACTAGACTTAAAGCACTAATGACTTCATTTCCAGTGACAGTGCATGGCATAATGTGGCAATAGATATGTGCAAAATTTCACCATCATTGGATATTCCTAACCAAATATCCATAAAAGGAAAAGTTTTGAATGACATGTATTTGTAGTTCATAAAATTTGAGTGGCATATATTTGTACCTTGGAACATTTTAGTCAAACTAAAGTATATAATGAGATAGATTGGGTGCTCATAACTGCACTGGAGAAAGTAGAGGAATAATTGGATGAGCTCAGTGTCTAGCTCCACATAAATTACCTAAAAGTTTCTAGGTCTGCCCCGAAAGAAACCCTTCTTTCCTATAGCCACAGGATTGAAATCTCTGAAAACCATACCTAGAGTCTTATCTTGCAAGAGGCAGGGTTAGAATACAAATTGAATTCCCAACCTATGAGTTGACTACTGTTTAAATGAGGGCTTTGATTAGAAAGAAATGTAATCCTGAAAACTAGAATGAGGACATGGGGGAAAATGTTTAGGAAGCTGGGAACATGGAAAACCCAAAATTTTGCTGAGTCTTTGCTAGTATAAGCAGCATCTCTCCTCCTGTTTGAGGAGGTTACCTTGCCATTTCCTGCAGAAACTATAATGGCCTCTATTATGGAGTTTTCTTGAAAGGCACTGCTGATTATTTTCAGGACATACATTTACCACCCTTCTTTGCTTCTGGATCCATAACTAGACTCAAGTCCCAGTATGCCTCAGAAGGTGAGATACAAGTGTGGCTCACAAGAAAAACGAATCACCACACACCAAAGAAATGCATGATTTTTCTGTCTATTCCAATAAGAATATGTGTAAGAGTTGGTAGTAAATATGTGAGACAATGAGGGAAGAAACATAAAGTTGTATCAAACTTGATATATGGATATGGACCAACTAAGGTAAGATTCTGGATTCAATATTTTAGTCTGAGGAGTTAGAATGGGTCCTAATAGTTTGGTTGGTTAGCTAAAATGCAGACCAAAAATGGTGTACAGTAAATAAAGTTGGAATATCAGAACTGCCTTTGTATACTGTAGAGGAAGTTATTTAAAGGTTTAGGGATATTAAAATGTTAGAATGGATTTATCATGCAAGACTTACTCACCCACCCTGGGACAGTCCAGAGGATATGCCTTTTACCACACCTGTGGGAAATAAATTTGTGAAGGGAGTGCTGGCTTTCTTCAAGAGCCTTGTGGTCATTCTTCTCTGTAGGTCAGAAATTACAGTAGGGATGACTGCCACCAAGCTGAGATTTCTAAAGGCAATATGGATATTGGATATTGAGGTAGCAGGTGTCAAATAATGGCAATTAATCACCAAAGACAAGAAAATGGTTACTGTAATGGACAGAGGAGTCAAAACAGTAACCAAAATAGTCTTACAGACAAATAGAAAAAGGCCTATGGAATTTTCTACTTAATCATGGTGTAATTAGAATTAAAACAGATGGGTTGTCTCCTAAATCCTTACTTGATCTGCATATGAGAAAAAGAGTTCCAGGTCAAGTGAACAAAAGTGTAGCTTAAAAACTGAGTATCACACCCTTCAATTAATTTTCAGACTTAAGCCACTTTGGAGACCCAGAACCTTTTGAATGAAAGGCAAGCTAGAACTCTTTGAGGAAGTATACTGCCAGAACTTTTTACTGTTAATCTTTTCCTAGCCTTCCCTGAAGACAACCATGGGCATTTGCCAAGGTGACTCTGCATAGAGAAAAGAAAAATAATCAGACTTTTGAGAATTGTTATATACAGGATCTGACATAAGACGAATTTCAGGAGGCCCAAAACACTACTGTGGTCCATCAGTGAGAATAGAGGCTTAAGAAGGTCAGGTGCTCAACGGACTTTTAGCTCAAGTTCTTCTCACAGGGGGTACAATAGATTCCCAAACTTATCCAGTGGTTATTTCTCTAGTTCTGGTACAGAAATATATGAGAATAACTTATAATAAATTCCAGGCCAGAGAACTTAAGCATATTTCCTAAATCACAAAGGAAGAACAAATTCAAAAATACTGCCCACAGTCAGGAAATGAATCCCCAACCACTAAACCAGAGATTATATCTCAAGCTAAACTTCTTGGCAGAGCCTAGTTTTAGTAAAGATGAACATTTGCTAAAATGTCGACGTCTAAACCAAAGCTTCCTAGCTGCCAATGCTGTTGGCCTGAACAGAGGGAGAATCTCTTTCTTCTTTTATTTTCGAATGTGTGCTTCTTAGTAAAAGGAAATATACTAATGATATTTTAATCTGGGTCCCCTTACAATTTTATTTATGTATTTATTTAACTTTAAGTTCTGGGGTACATGTGCAGAAAGTGAAGTTTTGTTGCATAGGTATACACGTGCCATGGTGGTTTGCTGCACCCATCAACCCGTCACCTACATTAGGTATTTCTCCTAATGCTATCCCTTCCCTAGCCCCCCACCCCTGACAGGCCCTGGTGTGTGATGTTCCCCTCTCTATGTCCATGTGTTCTCATTGTTCAACTCCCACTTATGAGTGAGAACATGCGGTGTTTGGTTTTCTGTTCTTGTGAGTTTGCTGAGAATGATGGTTTCCAGCTTCATCCATTTCCCTGAAAGCACATGAACTCATCCCTTTTGATGGCTGCATAGTATTCCATGGTGTATATCTGCCACATTTTCTTTATCCAGTCTATTATTGATGGACATTTGGGTTGGTTCCAAGTCTTTGCTATTGGGAATAGTGCCACAATAAACATACGTGTAAATGTGTCTTTATAGTAGAATGATCTATTATTCTTATACCCAGTAATGGGATGACTGGGTCAAATGGTATTTCTAGTTTTAGATCCTTGAAGAATCGCCACACTGTCTTCCACAATGGTTGAACTAATTTACACTCCCACCAACAGTGTAAAAGCATTTCTATTTTTCCACATCCTCTCCAGCATCTGTTGTTTCCTGACTTTTTAATGATTGTCATTCTAACTGGTGTGAGATGTTATCTCATTGTGGTTTTGATTTGCATTTCTCTATTGACCTGTGATGATGAGCATTTTTTATGTTTGTTGGCTGCATAAATGTCTTTGGAAGTGTCTGTTCACATCCTTCGCCCATTTTCTGATGGGGTTGTTTGTTCTTTTCTTGTAAATTTGTTTAACTTCTTTGTAGATTCTGGGTATTAGCCCTTTGTCAGATGGATAGATTGCAAAATTTTCTCCCATTCTGTAGGTTGCCTGTTCACTCTGATGATAGTGTATTTTGCTGTGCAGAAGCTCTTTAGTTTAATTAGATCCTATTTGTCTATTTTGGCTTTTGTTGCCTTTGCTTTTGGTGTTTTAGACATGAAGTCTTTGCCCATGCTTATGTCCTCAATGGTATTGCCCAGGTTTTCTTTTAGGATTTTTATGGTTTGAGGTCTTATGTTTAACTCTTTAATCCATGCTGAGTTGATTTTTGTGTAAGGTGTAAGGACGGGGTCCAGTTTCAATTTTCTGCATATGGCTAGCCAATTTTCCCAACACCATTTATTAAGTAGGGAATCTTTTCTGCTTTGCTTGTTTGTGTCAGGTTTGTCAAAGATCAGATGGTTGTAGATGTGTAGTGATATTCCTGAGACCTCTGTTCTGTTCCATTGGTTTATATATCTGTTTTGGTACCAGTACCATGCTGTTTTGGTTACTGTAGCCTTGTAGTATAGTTTGAGGTCAGGTAGCATGATGCTTCCAGCTTTGTTCTTTTTGCTTAAGATTGTCTTGGCTATGTGGGCTCTTTTTTGGTTCCATATGAAGTTTAAAAGTAGTTTTTCCCAATTTTGTGAAGAAAGTCAATGGTAGCTTTATGGGAATAGCATTAAATCTATAAAATACTTTGGGCAATATGGGCATATTCATGATATTGATTCTTCCTATCCATGAGCATGGAATGTTTTTCCATTTGCTTGTGTCCTCTCTTATTTCCTTGAGCAGTGGTTTGTAGTTCTCTTGAAGAAGTCCTTCACATCTCTTGTAAGTTGTATTCCTAGGTATTTTATTTTTTTAGTAGCAGTTGTGAATTGGAATTCATTCATGACTTGGCTTTCTGTCTGTTCTTGATGTACAGGAATGCTTGTGATTTTTGCACATTGATTTTGTATCCTGAGACTTTGATGAAGTTGCTTATCAGCTTAAGGAGATTTTGGGCCGAGATGATGGGGTTTTCTAAATATACAATCATGTCATCTGCAAACAGAGACAACTTGACTTCTTCTCCTCCTATTCGAATACACTTTATTTCTTTCTCTTGCCTGATTGCCCTGGCCAGAACTTCCAATACTATGTTGAATATGAGTGGTGAGAGAGGGCATCCCTGTCTTGTGCCAGTTTTCAAAGGGAATGCTTCCAGTTTTTGCCCAGTCAGTATGATATTGGCTGTCGGTTTGTCATAAATGGCTCTTATTATTTTGAGATACATTCCATCGATACCAAG
This sequence comes from Homo sapiens, assembly GCF_000001405.40. Classification (NCBI taxonomy): domain Eukaryota; kingdom Metazoa; phylum Chordata; class Mammalia; order Primates; family Hominidae; genus Homo; species Homo sapiens. The sequence goes on along the minus strand of NC_000013.11, from coordinate 81,366,809 downwards.
TTTATTGAGAGTTTTTAGCATGAAGGGCTGTTGAATTTTGTCGAAGGCCTTTTTTGCATCTATTGAGATAATCATGTGGTTTTTGTTGTTGGTTCTGTTTATGTGATGGATTACGTTTATTGATTTGCATATGTTGAAACAGCCTTGCATCCCAGGGATGAAGCCGACTTGATTGTGGTGGATACACTTTTTGATGTGCTGCTGGATTCAGTTTACCAGTATTTTATTGAGGATTTTTGCATTGATGTTCATCAGGGATATTTATCTGAAATCTTTCTTTTTTTGTTTTGTCTCTGCCAGGCTTTGTTATCAGGATGATGCTGGCCTCATAAAATGAGTTAGGGAGGATTCCCTCTTTTTCTATTGTTTGGAATAATTTCAGAAGGAATGGTACCAGCTCCTCTTGGTACCTCTGGTAGAATTCAGCTGTGAATCTGTCTGGTCCTGGACTGTTTTTGGTTGGTAGGCTATTAAATACTGCCTCAATTTCAGAACTTGTTATCTATTTATTTAGGGATTTGATTTCTTCCTGCTTTAGTCTTGGGAGGGTGTATGTGTCCAGGAATTTATCCATTTCTTCTAGATTTTCCAGTTTATTTGCATAGAGGTGTTTATAGTACTCTCTGATGGTAGTTTGTATTTCTGTGGGATCAGTGGTGATATCCCTATATAATTTTTTATTGCATCTATCTAATTCTTCTCTCTTTTCTTCTTTATTAGTCTGACTAGCGATTTATCTATTTTGTTGATCTTTTCAAAAAAATCAGCTCCTGGATTCATTGATGTTTTGAAGGGTTTTTTTGTGTCTCTATCTCCTTCAGTTCTTCTCTGATCTTAGTTATTTCTTGTCTTCTGCTAGCTTTCAAATTTGTTTCTGTTGCTTTGCTAGTTCTTCTAATTTTGATTTTAGGGTGTCAGTTTTAGATATTTCCTGCTTTCTCTTGTGGGCATCTAGTGCTATAAATTTCCCTCTAAACACTGCTTCAGCTGTGTCCCAGAGAATCTGGAACGCTGTGTCTTTGTTCTCATTGGTTTCAAGAAACTTCTTTATTTCTGTCTTAATTTCATTATTTACCCAGTACTCATTCAGGAGTAGGTTGTTCAGTTTCCATATAGTTGTGTGGTTTTGAGTGAGTTTCCTTTTTTTTTTTTTTCAAAGACAGTCTCGCTCTGTTGCCCAGGTTGGAGTGCAGTGGCGCGATCTCAGCTCACTGCAAGCTCTGCCACCTGGGTTCATGCCATTCTCCCGCCTCAACCTCCCAAGTAGCTGCGACTACAGGCGCCCATCACCACACCCAGCTATTTTTTATATTTTTAGTAGAGATGGGGTTTTACTGTGTTAGACAGGATGGTCTTGATCTCCTGAGCTCGTGATCTGCCCGCCTTAGCCTCCCAAAGTTCTGGGATTACAGACGTGAGCCACTGCACCCGGCCTTGAGTGAGTTTCTTAATCCTAAGTTCTAATTTTTTTGCACTGTGATCTGAGAGACTGTAATGATTTCCATTCTTTTGCATTTGCTGAGGAGCATTTTCTTCCAATTATGAGGTCTATTTTAGAATAAATGTGATGTGGTGCTGAGAAGAATGTATATTCTGTTGATTTGTGGTGGAGAGTTCTGTAGATGTCTATTAGGTCCACTTGGTCCAGAGCTGAGTTCAAGTCCTGTATATGCTTGTTAATTTTCTGTCTTGTTGATCTGTCTAATATTAACAGTAGGGTGTTAAAGTCTCCCACTGTTATTGTGTGGGAGACTAATTCTCTTTTTAAGTCTCTAAGAACTTGCTTTATGAATCTGGGTCCTCCTGCATTGGGTGCATATATATTTAGGACAGTTAGCTCTTCTTGTTGCATTGATACCTTTACCATTATGTAATGCCCTTCTTTGTCTTTTTTTAATCTTTGTGGTTTAAAGTCTGTTTTATCAGAGACTAGGATTGCAAGCCCTGCTTTTTTTTCTTTCCATTTGCTTGGTAAATATTCCTCCACCCATTCATTTTGAGCTTATGTGTGTCTTTGCACGTTAGATGGCTCTCCTGAATGCAGCACAACAATGGGTCTTGACTCTTTATCCAGTTTGTCAGTCTGTGTCTTTTAATTGGGGCATTTAGCCAATTTACATTTAAGATTAATATTGTTATGTATGAATTTGATCCTGTCATTATAATACTAACTGGTTATTTTGCCTGTTAGTTGATGCAGTTTATTCATACTATTGACAGTCTTTACAATTTGGTATGTTTTTGCAGTGGCTGGTACAAGTTGTTCCTTTCAGTGTTTAGTGCTTCCTTCAAGAACTCTCGTAAGGCAGGCCTGGTGGTGACAAAATCTCTCAGCATTTGCTTGTCTGTAAAGGATTTTATTTCTCCTTCATTTATGAAGCTTAGTTTGGCTGGATATGAAATTCCGGGTAGAAAATTCTTTTCTTTAAGAATGTTGAATATTGGCCCCACTCTCTTCTGGCTTGTAAGGTTTCTGCAGAGAGATCCACTGTTATTCTGATGGGCTTCCCTTTGTGGGTAACCCGACCTTTCTCTCTGGCTGCCCTTAACATTTTTTCCTTTAGTTCAACCTTGCTGAATCTGACGATTATGTGTCTTGGGGTTGCTCTTCTCAAGGAGTATCTTTGTGGTTTTTGTCTGTATTTCCTGAATTTGAATGTTGGCCTGCCTTGCTAGTTTGGGGAAGTTCTCCTGGATAATGTCCTGAAGAGTGTTTTCCTACTTGGTTCCATTCTCCCTGTCATTTTCAGGTACACCAATCAAACATAGATTTGCTCTTTTCACATAGTCCCATATTACTTGGAGGTTTTGTTTGCTCATTTTTATTCTTTTTTCTCTAATCTTGTCTTTTCACTTTATTTCATTAAGTTGAAATTCAATCACCGATATCCTTTCTTCCACTTGATCGATTTGGCTATTGATACTTGTGTATGCTTCACAAAGTTCTCGTGCTGTGTTTTTCAGCTCCATCAGGTCATTTATGTTCTTCTCTAAACTTGTTATTCTAGTTAGCAATTTGTCCAACCTTTTTTCAAGGTTCTTAGCTTCCTTGCATTGGGTTAGAACATGCTTCTTTAGCTAGGAGGAGTTTGTTATTACCCACCTTCTAAAGCCTACTTCTGTCAATTCAACAAACTCATTCTCCGTTCAGTTTTGTTCTCTTGCTGGTGGGGAGTTGTGATCCTTTGGAGGAGAAGAGGCATTCTGGTTTTTGCAATTTTCAGCCTGTTTGTGCTGGTTTCTCCCCATCTTTGTGGATTTATCTACCTTTGGTCTTTGATGTTGGTGACCTTCGGGTGGGGTCTTTGAGTGGACTTGCTATTTCTTTCTGTTTGTTAGTTTTCCTTCTAACAGTCAGGCCCCTCTGCTGCAGATCTGCTGGAGTTTGCTGGAGGTCCACTCCTGACCCTGTCTGCCTGGATATCACCAGTGGAATCTGCAGAACAGCAAAGATTGCTGCCTGTTCTTTCCTCTGGAAGCGTTGTCCCAGAGGGTCATCTGCCAGATGCCAGGCAGAGCTCTCCTGTATGATGTGTCTGTCAGCCCCTACTGGGAGGTGTCACCCTGTCAGGACACATGAGAGTCAAGGACCCACTTGAGGAGACAGTCTGACCCTTAGCAGAGCTTGAACGCTGTGCTGGGAAGTCCGCTGCTCTCTTCAGAGCCATCAGGCAGAGACGTTTAAGTCTGCTGAAGCTGCACCCACAGCTGCCCCTTCCCCAGGTGCTCTGTCCCAGGTAGATGGGGGTTTTATCTATAAGTCCCTGACTGGGGCTGCTGCCTTTTTTTCAGAGATGCCCTTCCCAGAGAGAAGAAATCTGGCAGTCTGGCCACAGTAGCCTTGCTGAGCTGAGGTGAGCTCCGCCCAGTTCGAACTCCTGGTGGCTTTGTTTACACTGTGAGCATAAAACCACTTACTCAAGCCTCAGCAATGGTGGACACCCTCCCCCCACCAAGCTCAACCTTCCCAGGTTGATCTCAGACTGCTGCTGTGCTGGCAGCAAGAATTTCAAGCCAGTGAATCTTAGTTTGCTGGGCTCCATGGGGGTGGTACCCATGGAGCCAGACCACTTGGCTCCCTGGGTTCAGCACCCCTTTCCAGGGGAATAAACAGTTCTGTCTCACTGGCATTCCAGGTGCCACTGGGGTATGTGGGGGGAAAAAAAAACAAACTCCTGCAGCTAGTTCAGTGTCTTCCTAAATGGCCACCCAGTTTTGTGCTTGCAACTGAGGGCCCTGGTTGGATAGGCACCGCAGGGAATCTCCTGGTCTGTGGGTTGCGAAGATGGTGGGACAAATGCAGTATCTGGGCCAGAGTCCCCAGTTCCTCAGGCTCAGTCCTTATGGCTTCCCTTGGGTAGGGGAGAAAATTCCCTGACCTTTTGCAGTTCCTGGGTGAGGCAACTCCCGACCCTGCTTCGGCTCACCCTCCGCGGGCTGCACCCACTGTCCAACCAGTCCCATTGAGATGGAAATGCAGAAATCACCCACCTTCTGCATGTATCTCGCTGGGAGCTGCAGACTGGAGAGGCTCCTATTCGGCCATCTTAATCAGGATTGAGACAATTTTCTTTATTAAATGATACTTGGATTTAATACATGTTCATAAATAGAGACTCTGGGTTAGATGCAGGATGAGTACTGATTATTCCTAATGCATATCAGGTTCTGTGACTGAGTGGCAAACCATGTTTGAATACTGCTGCTGAGAACATTTATAAGAAGATTAATACAGACAATAGTGACAATGACCAGAACAAAAGAGCAAAATATGATTAAACATGTTTAGTAAATGGAGAATGAAGTAAAAATCCTTTAAAAAGGTTAAAATTATCATAATATGTTAATATTTGACATTCATGATATATTTCCACCCTTCACACTCATATGTATTGAAGACTTACACAGGCATTTCTATAGTTTAATAGAAAATACTCCTATAAAAACTTAGGAAATCTTCAACAGCTAAAATGGAAGTCTTATAATGAAGTATTTTATTAAGCTTTAACAGTCTCATATGTTTCTAGAGTTATAAAAATTAAAATTAACACTGCTGCATACCCTAAATTACAAAATAGCTATTGAGTCAATGGTCAGATTTCTTAGAGATATTAGAGCAGAATCTTTTCTTCTCTGAAATACATCATTAAGATTTATTTAAATGGAATATTGACTTCACATTTAATTTGCTTCAAGAGACTCATTAGTTTTTTATATATAATATCAATTTGAACTAAGCCATTATCTTCCAAGGGTCATAATAGGGGAGAGTGTTTAAGAAGGGTAGGAGAGTGTTTCCTAAAACAGTTCTGCCAACTAACCACTTCTTATACCCTAGACACACTGTTATCACTCTGTATTTTAATTTATTTAATCCTCACAAAAGCTTTATGAAATAATTGTTCATTTGTAGACTCAGGCACCCAATGTGATGCTGGAACTAGGATTCATCTTTGACATTTTAACTCCAGAGTCTGTGTTGTTAACCATCCTCTAGTCTACTAAATGCCTTTCCAAGTTCTATTTCCTTATACTAAATCTAACCATACGAGACTCAAGTACACTTAGGAATTTAACATTGATTATTATTCAACAAATATATTAGAGAATACTTATTTTCCAAGAATAAAAAGTCAATTTGTTCCTTTCAAGTAACAAAAATAATATGCAGGCTTTAAATTTTGTATTGATGCATTTTTAATCAGCATGTTTGCTTACTATTTCATTTTGTGTACATTTCATGTTGTTTTGAAATTATGGAATGATTCATTTGTGCTAGGATACCTTTATTCAATGTTATAGGTCATATTCATAACTTCATTAATGATAATAAAATCCAAAGATTAAAAATAATGCCATAGTCAAACTTTTATAGAGAAAGTTTGAAATAAATTTCCAATTAATACTTTGAAACATCAGAAACTCAGCTGACATTTACTGTCAGATTAAACATAACAGAAAATGTAAAGACTCTTTCAAAATAGCTTAAATATATTATTCCAATTTGCTTTATATTTCTTAACTAAAGTCATGCCTTGAAAACTTTAGGATACTTATTTTAAACACCTGACATTTTTGTTATCAAGCAGAATATGTAGAAAAGTGGTGTTTTAAAACATAAAATTATAACACAATTTTAAAATATCAATAGGTAAATTAATTATTGTTAGTAAAACATACCTAAGCATAATCTAATAGGATTACTTTTAAAATCTCATTTTATGATGAGATTCTTGAGCTCATTCTTAAAAAGTCATTTTTTTTGACAAGTTTCCAAAGAACAACTGGGCTCAGTCTAAGTGCCGCAGAGAATAGCATGAGGCATGTAGTAAAGTGACGCAAAGATTAAAGAAGTATCTGGCATTTTGCTTCTCTACAGGCAGAAGATGACTCAATTAAAATTTTAGGAAATCAAGTTTCCTCATGAATTCCCTAACACTATGAGGGGGCTCTGTACCCTTAAAGTCAAAGGCCCAGGAACAAAGCAGCAGGCATACACAGTTGCTGATATTCAATGCAAATAATCCATGCCAGCAGAATGGAAGAGGAACTTTAATGACATCCCAGGACAAGAGTCCCCTTCCATGGATTGAAATCCATCAGATGGACTAAGCGTGGCAATCTGGACACACAAACGTCAAGTTGGCTCCTATAGACTATGTTCACATCACCCTATGGTACAGTAACAGCTCCCAATATATTCTTGAACCTTGTAATCTTTACTATTTACAACCCTAAATGTTCCCATACTGAAAGGAGGTTTCTCAAAAAACTAAAAGTATAACTACCATATGATCCAGCAATCCCACTCCTGGGTATACATCTGAAAGAAAGGAAATCCATGTATTGAAGAGATACCTGCACTCCCCTGTTTATTGCAACAGTACTCACAATAGCCAAGATATGGAATCAACCTGAGTCCATCAGTGGTTGGATGAATAAAGAAAATGCGGTACATATGCACAACAGAATATCATTCAGCCATGAAAAAGAAAAAAAATCTGACATTTGCAACAACATGGATGGAACTGGAGGTCATTATGTTAAGTGAAATAAGCCAGGCAGGAAAAGGCATACACCACATATTCTCACTTATATCTGGGAGCTGAATAAAGTGGATCTCATAAAGATAAAGAGCTGATTGATGACTACTAGAAGCTGCCAAGGGTAGGGAAGAGGGGGAAATGAGGAGAGGTTGATTAATAAATACAAACATAAAATTAGATAGAAGGAATAAGACCTAGCACTCAAGAGCATAGAAGAGGTGACTATAGTTAACAATAATTCATTGTATAGTGCGAAATTGCTGGATCAGAGGCTTTAGAATGTTCCCAACATAAAGAAGGGGTGAATATTTGGGGCGATGGATGTTTCAATTCCCTTGGTTTGATCTTTATGTATTGTATGAATGTATCAAAACACTCTATGTACCCCCAAAATATGTACAACTATTATATAATAATAAAAATAAACCAATAAATAGAATGCTCCCAAATATTATTTTGGCACCCCAGAATCCCAGAATTTTCCTATATGTCCATGTCATCGACTTCCAGTTCTTCTGCCAATTGACTTTTTTTTTTTTTGATGGAGTTTCTGTCTGTCGCCTAGGCTGAAGTGCCGTGGCATGATCTTGGCTCACTGCAACCTCCACCTCCTGGGTCCAAGCGATTCTCCACCCGAGTAGCTGGGATTACAGGCGCCAACCACCATACCCATCTAATTTTTGTATTTTTAAGAGAGGCAAGGTTTCACCATGCTGGCCAGGCTGGCCTGGAACTCCTGACCGCAAGTGATCCACCCACCTCGGCCTCCCAAAGTGCTGGGATTACAGGCGTGAGTCACCATGCCAAGCCCCAATTGATTTCTAATATCATATATTTGTTTGCCTATATTTAAACTTTGTAAAAATCACTATCATACAGTATGCACTTTTTAATACCTGGTTTCTTTTGCTTAACATTATATTTGTGAGAGTCTATCATATTTTTGCACAAGCAAAATATTATCCCTGCAAAGTGGTAATTTGTTCTTTCTCACTGCTGACAAATATTCCACTGTGTTAATATACGATAATTTACTTACCTTTTTTAGTGTTGTTTAGCACTGATTTTTAGTTTTGGGCTATTATGAGGAATATGTGTATACACACATTTGTGCATTTCTTTTAGGGAACATATGTTTACATTCCTGATGGAATGTACTTAGCAGTGAAATTTCTAGGCTAACAGCTAGCATTTACCTCTATTAGATGCAATATAAAGGTGTTCACAATTGTTTTCTCCAATTTTAACTCTCACCAGAAGTAAATGAGCATTCTATTTGCAGCATATTCTCATTCGCACTTGTAATGTCTGTCTTTCAGCTTTAAATTTTATGTTGTGGAGATAATCTTGTACGTTCACTTTTTTAAAATTTACTGTTTAACATTCTTGAAACAATGTTGCCACATCTTAAGCATTTTATAAATGTTAGTTTAATTTTTTGTGAACAGGGTCTTAGCAAAAATTAGATAAAATTTGTCCTGACAAGATAGAATTCATAGCTCTTGGGAAAGAAAAAAAGGAAAAAATGAAGGAAGGAAGGAAGGAAGAAAGGAAGGAAGGAAGAAGGGAAGGAAGGGAAGAAGAAAAGAACAAAATAAAAGAAACAAACCATAAGCAGAGAATCAAATTTGTAATTGTCTTAAGAAATGCAGAAAGTCTAGTTTAAAAAATGTTCCTGATCTCTATTTGAGAACATTGTCAAGGCATGTATTTTATAGTGTTCTGACCTTTTTCTGACATTAAGACTTTGAAGTTTTTAATGTTTGTTTCAGATAAATTTGGAATATTTTCAAATCTTTTGATTTATTATGTATTACTTTATCATGATGATATTCTTCATTTCATATTTATTGTGTAAAGTCATGTTTACTTTTTAAAATGTCATATTTCTAACATTAGAAAGCTGAAAATAAACTGCAACCATTTCATTTAACAAGTGGGAAATCTTGATATTAGGTTTCAAAAGGAATCACTTGGTTTCTTAAGAACACTGAGCAAAAAGTATACCAACATTAAATATCAAATATCTTAGTGAATTTCAATGAGTGCTGATACTTTAAATCCAGTGCTTTGCATTTGTGATAATTGGTATATGTTTTATAAGCTAATGCATGATAAATTGGTAGGAAAAAATTTAAAACATAAAAGCCTTACATCAAAAACTTTTTTATGCTGCATGAACTTGAGAGACTAAATATATTGCAACTGTCTGGCTTACCAGAAATGCTCCTCTGTATTGAGATTGAATTCCCTCGGAAAATAGTTGCAGTCAATTTTCATTTAATACATTCAGCTATTCAATGAGATTAGATGTTAGGATTTATAGTATAACTTGTTGTGCAAGTTATAGCTTTCTTGTAAGGGTGAAGACAGAAGGACTATACAGTATATTTTCTGCACTTGGTGTTCAGCTTTTAACTGGACACACAAACTACTAGTGATTCGATCAGAAGGAAAGTAGAGTGGCATTTCAATTTGAAAGGAAGGTGTAATGATCTAAAATATTGTCCTTTTAGTCACTTAGATTCTGCTAAAGCTATAGAAGTGAAAAATTTAGGAGGAAAGTAACACTTTAGGGGCAGTGAATTCCTCTACTGGAATCAGAAGCCTATTTATTTTATATCACTGAAGGGAAACCATTTACATCCAGTTTATGAAAATGTTGGTACTGTGGAATAGACAGAGTATGACATTATGTAAGAAATGGATATTAGTAAGGGAAAAAAAGAGATGAAAATAGTTAATTACAAATAGATGTATGCATTAAAATAGTCCAAACATTAATTTCAAATAAAAACATTAAAATGTTGTTTCAAATTTAATGAAAGTATTTCTTCTTGTTAGCTACATTACTAAAATTAGATTCTGAAAATTCTAAATCCAAACTACTGCTTATGTGTTATATTATACGTAATTAACAGTCATTCAATATATTGCCCGTCAAAGAATAATAGGTCAAATATAAATTGTTGTTCTTTATTCATATTAAAATATAATCCCTCTCCATTTTGTTACCTCCCTCCTTTCCAATGATGACATTCTCTGAGAGTATTATAAATCCAGTTTCCAAAATAGTTTAATTTATTTTTCTAGTGAACTGTTAATGTCACAATTGATTAAATTTAGAGTACAAAATTACATATGTTTACTGAAAGCTCCAACAAAAGGTCAATGGAAAAATTAAAGCAAGTCTTTTCAGCAATGTAAATATTAATATTTCATTGTTTATAAAACTGATATTCTCAGGATTTCTTATTCAATTTTTCAGCATTTACCTAAAATGATCCATTAAATTGATGAGGAGGCTTGTTGGACACAGAAAAGAAAAACAAAATAATCTTAAGCAACACATGTACTGCATCCTCATAACGACATTGAAATAACATTATTATAATAATTATTATTTTATCATCATCATTATCATCAACAGCAGCAGCAACATCCAATTTGATGGTACTCACTGTTTCAAAGTCTCTTAAGCAGTCAAACTGCACTGATTTAATCCTTACAACAACATTTTAAGACTTTAAAAATAATTTTAAATATTATTTTCCACATCAGTTGGTAAAGTAAGTAAGACTTAGATTAAGGTACCGATTAATATTTTCACAAAGATAGTGAGCTATGTTGTGAGAAGAACACTAAATGGGAAACAAAAATCACTGTGTATTTTGTTTTCTGTCTTTAGGTATTTTGTTTTCAATGAGCAAAGAAAGAATGAGTTGTGACTGTTTAGGTCTTGTTCAGCAGTGGATAGTTTAACTCAATTCTGCATGGTCAGAATGTATCACTTTTAGAGATAAACATACTGAAGTGTTAGAGGTTGAATGGTTCTCAAAATGTGTTAGTAACTTGTGGTTTATTGCCCTAATTGACTTATCGGTGGTCGATGCTGTAGGTCAACCTTCCTCTAGAAATGCCCTGCTTTTCTACTTTCAGTAAAGTGTGCAGTAAAGTTTTCGACTTCCTGGCTACTCCTCAATCTTCTTCATTAACTCTTTAAAGAATGGTGTTCCCAGCAGGGCCTGGTGGCTCACGCCTGTAATCCCAGCACTTTGGGAGGCCAAGGTGGGCAGATCATGAGGTCAGGAGTTTGAGACCAGCCTGGCCAACATAGTGAAATCCCATCTCTACTAAAAATACAAAAAATCAGCTGAGCGTGGTGGTGGGCGCCTGTACTCCCAGCTACTTGAGAGGCTGGGGAAGGAGAATCACTTGAACCCAGGAGGTGGAGGTTGCAGTGAGCTGAGATGGTACCACTGTACTCCAGTCCCGGTGTCAGTGCCAGACTCCGCCTCAAAAACAAAAAAAAAAGAATGGTGTTCCCACAGGACCAATCATTAGGAATGGTTAAATTCACCAAGTAAAGACATGGAATTTACTTTATGATCAATAAAAATTCTGAGATTTATATGAGTTACTATTTATGTTAATATTTGTATTAAGGATAAATTATTGTATCATTTAAAAATATCTCCAAGTGTCGGGATGCCTTACCAGGCTACCAGACAGTTATGTGATCTTAGAATAATATGGACACAATATTTTATATAGATAGACATACTATTTATAATGAAATATAAAGCTTACATAGTGAATTGATGAAGAGTAAGTTATGTTTTACATTTTATGGAAATGTCATTCACTAGGGGACTGATTTTGTATTGGTAATGAAGTAGCCAATAGAGAAAATCCAGGGGCACATTCCTGTAAGTTTATGTATAAGCTAGCAGTGAGTTGAGGCTAGTAAAAATACTTGCGCCTCAGTGTATTTCTTCCTTAGGAGCTCAGTTGTTTTTCTCTATAATTATGGAAATGTAATTGTTCATTTTAAGTTGCTATAACAGAATATTTGAGTCTAGGTATTATAAAGAAAAGATGTTTATTTGGCTCACAATTCTGATGGTCAAAAAGTCCAAGTCTGGGCAGCTGCATCTGGTGAGGGTCTCATGCTGCTTCCACTCATAATAGAAAGTGGAAGGGGAGTGGGAGTGTGCAAGGAGATCATATGGCTAGCAAGAAAACAAGAGAAAGAAACCAAAGAAGCCAGACTATTTTTAACTAGTGCATTCCTACAAGAGTGAGAACTTACCCTTCTGAGAGGACATTAATCTATTCATGAGGGATCTACCCCATGACCCAGACACTTCCCACCAGGCCCCACCTCCCAACACCGCTACAAGGGGCATCAAATCTCAACATGAGTTTTAGCAGAGAAAAACCACATCCAAACCATAGCAGGAAATAATACTGTATATCTCAATATCTTTTGGATAGTCTGGGTTCTGTGAGTCTAGTGAAGAAAAGCTCTCACACTAAATTTAACTGCACTGTATATTTGCAAAAATACGACTATATACAGAGATGCAACGAGATTTTTTTTTATGTTTAGTAATTTTCTATCAATAATACATACAGAAGAGAGAATGTTACTATGATCAAGGAAGAGGTGTTTTGAAATTGCACTTAAAAGTTTGGACTATTGAGGCATAATTTTTGGGTTAGTATCTTAGCTCCACTATATATTAGAAGGATGACTTTTGATAAAAGAAAAACTTCAGCTGAATTTAAAGGAGTTTAATTGAGCAATGAATGATTCGCAAATTGAGCAGCCCCCAGAATCAGAGTGGATTCACAGAGATTCCAGGGGTACCTAGTAGTCGGAACAAATTTATACACAAAAAAAGGTAAAGTGATGTATAGGAATCAGACATGAGGTACAGAAACAGCGAGATTGGTTACAGCTTGGTGTTTGCCTTATTTGAATGCAGTTCAATATAATTTGAACACAGCAGTCTATGAGCGGTTGAAGTATGGCCACTGGGATTGGCCAACACTCAGCTATTGTTATGGGTGCATACTATTAAGTTAGGTTTTCAATTTTATCTGACTATTAAGCTAGGTTACAGTTCATCCACAAGGACTAAAATACAGAAGTACAGAGTCCATATTTAGTGTGTTTTAACACCGAGGGCAGCTTAACTTCATGTTTTTATATCATATTTCCTCATTTGTGAATTGGAAATAATAGTATTACTTGTTTTATAGTCTTAGAAGCAAAATTAAATTTTTTTAATAAATGCCAACTTCTTGAAACAGTGTTTACTACATCTTGAATACTTTGCAGGTATTAGCTATTAGTGTTATTAAAAAGGCAGGATTGGGCATGAAATTAATTATTATATGTGGGTTAAAAGATGTAAGTTTGAAGTGTGTACATTCATCAACAACAGTAGACAAGTAGTAGTGTTGCTGATGCCACCAAATGAAGATTTGTGGATACTCTTTCTATATCAAAAGGTTGTTGTTAATATATGTTTGAATACCCTGTGTAAACTGTACTTTAAAATAAATCATTACATTAATGTTTTTAATTATCTTCAGCCCTGTTTTCAGAACAATTTTGCTATGGTGATCCTTATTTAGAATCTCTCATACAGGATGAAATCCACATTCTCATATGCTAAGAAACAAGTTTTTGGTTTTCTGTTTTTGTTTCTTTTTAGTCTAATGTGGCCTCTGTCTACCTGACCTGGATTACCTCTTATTGTCTCTAATACTGACTTAAATTATACAAATGTATTTACTATTTCCACAAACATATATTTAGACTCACATAATGTTTTTTTCTGAAATAAATATGTCTACAAATGTTGTTCCCTCTACCAGGAATGCACTGACTCCTCCACATTCAGATTCACTATAAGAGTATAAAAGTGATCTTTGAAGCATTTGTCATCCAGCTGTCCCTTAATTTACATCATTTCTGTGTGCTCCATTGTCTACTCTTAACTAGAATTTTAGAAAAATGCAGGAATAAGCAAGGCAGTATCACTTGATCATAAGGCAAACATCATATATTCAAAAGTTAGAATAACTAAAGCAGGAGAAGGGGCCCCAGTTATTTTGGCTAGAAAAACATGATAATGAATAAGGAGCTAAGTTTTAAGATAAATGAGTATGAGATAAACACCTGTTAAACAAATACAAAGAACATTGACCTTGTAGAGACTTTGGAGGTTACAAATTGATCAAATTGTCCTTATACTTCCTCTCCCCATGCAACCCTGAAGACTCTTACAAAATATTAACTCCTCTGCAAGGGACAGAGACCCTCAACACCATAATACAACAGAAAATTGTGGGGCTGTTATTTTTCATGTTTTCTGATTTTTTTTTTACTATCTATTTTCTCAGTGGAGAATTTTATTTAGAACAGTGATGTGGCCAGAACTGATTCAGGGAAGAATCACATTCATTGATTCTACCTCAGAGACGTGGAAGGTGGGATATAGGCTGTTCTGCATATAAAGTACAGTCCTATCATTGTAAACACAATATAACTAAAGAAATGGCAGTGCCATATAAATTTGTAATAAATGTGATTTGTCTTAAGATTATAGATAAAAAGATTCCTCAATTTAAGTAGTCTTACAGTTTAGTAAAGAAATAACTATCATCAAGGATGACTACCACTTACCCTTGCTTCTTTTTATCTTTTTTCAAATCTACTTTGATATGTTAACAAAAAAAGTACAGCATACAGTAACAAAAAAATCTAAATTAGACAAATTTTTAAATTTTGCTCAATAATCGAATAGTAAATTAACAGAAATATGGATAAAACACTATTTATGTTTTGATTTGGTATTTGCAAGCATTATATGCACTTAGGAATCAAGTAAAAATTATTGCATAGAGACTGTGGTAAATTGGTAGCATAAATAAAGGTTAGTTTCTAATGTAAATTTCCACATTAGAAATTTTCTCTAACTCTATATAACTAACTGACCCTAGCAAGTTTATCTTCATTTTTCACTATAATTATCTTGTCAGGTTTCAAAGTCAAAAACGGACATTGCTAATATTAGTAAGAAACTATTTCCAAACATGTCAAGCTTTACCCAACCCACTAAGAACTGGATCAATCAAATCAGAAAAGCAAGTGATAGACTTGGATTGTTGATATACAGGCATAACTCATTATATGGAAATTCATTTTATTGTGCTTTTTACAAATTGGATGTTTGTGGCAACCCCGCATTGAGCAAGTCTTGATGAGTAAAGGAATTTGTATCTTTAGATGGAATCTATTCCTGGTGAAGAGGCTGTGAACATTGCTGGAATGACAAAGAAGGACTTAGAATATTATATAAATTTAGTTGATAAAGTAGCAGCAGGTTTTGAGAGGATTGACTCCAGTTTTGAAAGAAGTTCAACTGTGGATAAAATACTATCAAGCAGCATGCTACAGAGTAATCCTTCCTGAAAGGACGTGTCCACTGATGTGGCAAATTTCATTGTCGACTTATTTTAAGAAATTGCCACAGGCATTGCATCCTTCAGTAACCACCATACTGATCAGTCACCAGCCATCAATATGTAGGCAAGGCCCTCCACCAGAAAAAAGATTAAAGCTTGACGAAAGCTCAGATGAACATTTGAATTTTTAAAAAGTAAAGTATTTTAATTAATGCATGTACGTTGCTTTTTAGACATAATGCTGTTTCACACTTAATAAAACTGGTGTGTCTCTGTGTGTGTGTGTGTGTGTGTGTGTGTGTGTGTGTGTGTGTGTTTGCTTGTACCTGTGCCTGTGTTTGCAGTAGGACATGTTGGCAAAGGCTGGAGTCCAATAGAACATTTGATGTCTTTTGCGAATAGGTGCACACATAATTCAATGGACTTGAGGGTCATGAGATACTTTCCAAGGTGATTCTTCTAAATTAGAGGCTGCTATGGTTTGAATGTCTCTTCCAAAACTCATGTTAAAATTTAATTGTCATTGCAGCATTATTAGGATGTGGGACTTTTAAAAGGTGACAAGATCATGGGGGTTCTGCCTTCATGAATCGATTAATGCCACATGGGAATGGGTTAGTTATGGCAGGAGTGCTTCTGTTATAAAATCTTTCTTGAGCGCTTGCATGGTCTCTGGCCATGTTATGATGCCACACATAGGCTCTCACAAGATGTAGCCCCCTGATCTTGGACTTCCCAGCCTCCAGAACCATAAGCCCAATAAAACTCGTTTCTTTATAAATTATTCCATGCGTGGTATTCTGTTATAGCAGCAGAAAATGGACTAAGACGAGATTATCTTCAAAGGATACAATGGAGTACTAGAGAAAAGACCTGAGATAGAGCTAGAACACATTTCTATTCTATTTGTGAAGTTTGGATCTCTATGAGGTGTTACAGTGGGCCATAGGCCCTTATGAGACCATA
The DNA here is from genome assembly GCF_000001405.40 of Homo sapiens. Classification (NCBI taxonomy): domain Eukaryota; kingdom Metazoa; phylum Chordata; class Mammalia; order Primates; family Hominidae; genus Homo; species Homo sapiens. The sequence continues at coordinate 81,350,535 of NC_000013.11, read as the reverse complement.
TTATAGACATGGTATATTTTATTTTTTAAAAAAAGAATGATCTTTATATACAGAGGGATGGGGTCAGAAGGCATACATGACTTAATTGAAAAATCAGTATACTTTAAAGTTTTTTCAACTTTCAAAAAGTTAATTTAAGTATAAAGTAATATAAATGACCTAACTACCACTTAGATAAAAACAATACTTTAAGTGTGTATATTTATATATACAGTTCATATAGAACTGATATAAATGGTCAATGAAAAAGAAATAAATGAGAAAATTCTGCTGACTCAGTTTGCATTAAACTGACTTCAGATTTTTATTAAAATTTTTCTATCAGTAAAGGGAAGAGGAAGGAGATTGAAAAATAAATGTGTGGCAAACAAAAAAAAAATCTTACATTCAAGTACTAAAGATAGTATGCTTCATTTCTCTTTGCCATCGTAGTGTAAGGACTAATTGTTACTCCTTCAGAAGTGACTGTTTTCACAGCTCGCATTGCCATTTAAAGCCACAGAAACATGCATGCCACTCCACAAGTCTTCCTGTACAAAATGAACAAGGGGACATTGTGAGCCACAAAAAGGTATATTGCTGGCCAAAAAAAGATACTGAATTTAATTTGAACTAAAGCTGAGAGAAAACACCTAAGATTAAATATCCGCCTTCTTTAAATCTTAATTTACCTACACAAAAGCAATCATGTTTTCTTTTGTATTGTCATTGTTGCCTTATTTTTGTATACATTGCTAACACACCATAATTGACTATAGCTCATACAATGACATCTGGTTAGCTGCACAGAATAAAATATCTCAAAGAAAATATGAGAATCTTTTTTCTTGATTTAGAAAATATCTATTTCTTTTTAAGTAAGTATACAGCATTGAAAAGAGAAACAAGTTATAATACTTGCCCAGAACCAACACTTAAAGAATGATGTTAGAATAAAAACACCTTCCATTAATTCAAAAAGATTAGTAATGCATGCTTTTAAAACTAGCTCCACTACAAAAACTCTACAAAAGTTCCTAATGTGCCTATGTTAGGAATACACTAGATAGCCACATTAGGAACTTTCATAGAGTTTTTGGAATGCTTCTTTGTCAGAATGCTTCTGAAATCTTCCAAATGTGAATATTATAATTTGCTTTCTATACTTGAAACTATTCTTATGAGAGTAAATGTCAGTAAATATGAAGGATGGCCATTGTTCATTTAATTGTCAAAAATTGATATAAAGACATTTTTTTAAAAGTATCTAATTCTAGTGTTTTGAGTGATATTATAATAATATTGCAAATAATTTTGCTTCCTTTATAAAACAGTTTAAAATGACTTATGGCTCAATCAAGGACAATCATATTTTAAGATTTAAAAGTGTATAATATAAATGTTTATCTTAATATCCTAAGACAGAGACAAAGTTTTCATGATTACTAATTATCTTCTGGCAAAGGTATTCAAGATACTATTGCCTTTAATTAAGAGGCCAATATATGAACCGAAACTTAACCCTCATCCCCAAACATATATAAGCTGAAGGGACAATTGTCATTCAGTCAGGATTCAATGTTAAACTTGATTTGGGTAATCATTATATTGGTTTGGTTAAAACACTTGGGAAATGTCACCAATTGATATAAGATATATCCCTATACTTGGCAAAACTGAAGGTTGCTCAAGCTACAGAAATTTGTAAAAGTCATGTGGAAGGAACATTGTTCTATCTCCTGTGCAAGTATGATGTAGGGTCAAACAACTATATGATGAGCATAGATTAGAGGAAAAACAAACCAAACACTGCCTGAGTGTTACTGTTTAAAATCATTACAATCATTTCTCCTGCTTATCTGCTGGAACCTCGAAATGTTGTTGCTATTATGTAAGGAAAGATGCTATTCCTTTATGTTTGCTTTGTATTTTTCTGTCATATACCCATCTCCATCTTCTGCCCTTCTCTGTTATACATACTTATTTTCATTTTTTATTTTTAGATACAGTGTCTTGCTCTGTCACTCAGGCTGGAGTGCAGTGACATGATCATGGCTCACTGCAGGCTTGAATTCCTGGGCTCAAGCAGTCCTCCTGCCTCGGCCTCCCCAGTAGCTAGGTCTATAGGCACATGCCACTACACATGGCTAATTGAAAAAAAATTGTAGCGATGGGAATCTCACTATGTTGCCCAGGCTGGTCTTGAACTCCTGGCCTCAAGCAATCCTCCTGCCTTGGCCTTCCAAAGTGCTGAGATTACAGGCTGAGCCACTGCAACTGCACCTTCATATTTATTTTTAGAAATAAATAAATTTTAGAAAAGGTATATGGCTTGCTGTTCTTATCTGCATATTTTCCTCCAAAATCTAAAGATGTAAATTTATTGTATTAATTATTTGCTAGTTTTATAAAATTAGGCAAGCTATTTTACTTCTCTGTGATTGGTGATGTAATCTCCTCATATGCATGAAATAATAATAGTGATTATAATGACAAGTTGATATTTTGACATTGCTTACTATATGTTGCTTCTCATTCCAGGCAATTTTCACCTGACAACTTATTTATTCCTCATAACAATCTGATGAGAAATAAAGAGAAAGAAACTGAGAAATGGAAAGTTTAGGTAACTTATACAGATTGCACAACCAGTAAGTGGCAAAATTGGAATTCAAGTTGAAATAATCTGGCTCAGACTCCTTCCTTGATCTCAACCGAAACATCACCCACCTCATAAGATTTTTTTCAGTATTAAAGAATACACCTATAAATTTTGCTTAGAATATAGCTCCTGGCACGTGGCAAAAATGGAATAGTCTGTAGCCACTATGATCATCATTATTCAGATATTCCTTACATAGAGGATGATGCCTACTTCTCATTTTTTATTGTTTTCCTTAATTATCTGATACATTTCTAATCATTTTGTTTTTTTCTTTTTTAAACAGATGGAGTTTCGCCATGCTTCCCAGGCTGATCTTGAACTCTTGGGCTCAAGTGATCCACTCACCTCAGTCTCCCAAAGTGCTGAGATTACAGGCATGAGCCACCGCACCTGGCCACATTAATAATTCTTAACATCCATTATACTTACTTCTTTTCCCTTAATTTAGTTTTATTATTCTCTACATAGTGTTAGTTTTGGTACTTCTTTTCAGGAACTGTCATATCTTTCATAGATAATTTTACTTCACTACTTCTCTAATTGCTATAATAAATATTATTCACATCCTAGATTATCTTACATTATCTTTAGTCTTTTTATCAGCGGTTAGAGAGCTTCGGATGTTTTTTCTGAGTTCTGTGGTATTTTTTATCTTTGTTTTCCCTAACTGACTGCTTTCGATTTTTGGTATTTAAATTATTTGTTCCATGATTTTATGGTATTTCTGAATTTCATGATTATGTTTGAAACTCAAAGAATTCTGATCTCATATTTTTATCTTATTGATTTCTGCATTTATTTTATAAATACACTTTTCTTATGTCTCTCTTTGAGAAAATTGAATTGGTGATTATATAAGGTTCCTCTCTTTATACCCTTATTCCTCAGTAACTAAATTACTGAGTTTCAACACTTTCTTTTAAAAAAAAGTTTTGTGATACATGTGTCTCCCAAATTAAGGAGATGAAATGAACTCTGACATAGATTGCATGGGACTCTTTTCATGCTTTTAGGCCTATATAAAGAAAGAAGGGTTAAATGGTGGGTTATTTTAATTCTGAGCTATTAGATTAGACATTCTATAGTCTGTGAGAAGTAAAATGTGAGGCATAGCTAAGGGCAATCCAGGCAGAGAGACTATTGTAGCTGCCCAAAATGACATGCTGCAGAATCTCCACTCCTTGTATAGCACACGTACCTCTGTTAAAAATCTTCCTTTTCATACTACTTTGGGAGCAAGGAGTAAGCATATTTTATACTATACAGAGCATGCCATTTTGGTGGTAGCATGGTTATAAAAATTAATATTTGGTCCCATAAATTGAATTGTAGTAAAAATTTACACCATATTCTGTCATTTCAAACTGTGCGATATTAATGTTCTCTTGTCCTTTCCTCCCAGCAGGGGTGCCTTTAACTTACATTTGAGGCAGTGTATCTTTATTTTTAATAGAAGTACATATAAGGAAATATGTACTTAATCTTTGAAAGTTTAATCACAACTAGTCACTTACATTTAGACTCTGACATTTACTCATAAAATGTTTGCTAAAAATTTAAATGCAGAAATGGGAGTAATACATGTTTTAAAAAGCATCTACTGCAATCAGGATTCTTTCCTTGTTGATATAACAGTGCCTACCATCGCTGGCCATGAGGCATTGCACATCCCCTTTTCAGATATAAGTTTATGTAAGTAATTTGCCGTAGAAACATTTCTGTTTCCTTCTGCTTTAAAAATTTTGTTATAAGTCTCAAAATCTTGTGTATTTAGTTCAATAGAATGAGCACCAAACTTGATGTCAGGGTAACATGGCTGAATTATTAGTTCTCTGGATATCTAGGCATTTTACCAGTAACCAAAGATACAATATATTAAACTTGTGTCTTTACAGAAGATGAATTCAGAAAATTGGGCTTAAGAATACATAAAAATGTGTGTTTTCTTCAGGAGTAAATAAAATAATCTATAAGAAAGTGTTTTGTTGCTCTTTATTAATTTCCTTGACATACTGCTGAGCTTTTCTTGCATGCCAGGTATAATATTAAAAATTATTCTAATATCTTAGGTATTTCCTTATCTTCAGTCATTCTTATACACAACTCATATTTATAGGCTACCACCATTTCTTAGGTACTTTTTAAATTCAACTTATGTTTAATTCATCATATGTTAAGCTGTAATAGTCATGAGATCATGAGTTTGATGTGCCAGATTTTACACTACTCCTCAAAATGAAACATTGGTATAAAAGTAAAAAAAAAAACTCCAGTTATAAAAAAATGAACAGATTGAAATGCTCTGGCTTATGAACAGTCTACCATCCGAGGCCATCCTGAAATTCACATCTTTACCAATGACCGAGCTGTGGCCAATAGCTTAGCTGTATGGTCTAGTAGCTGAGTGGCCTCAGAGTAGACAATCCATGACTGGCATTGTGGGGTGCTTCCCTTTGGCGATGCATTGCTGGTATCTGCACCATGTGGCCTATCTTCATGTTCTATGTCTAGGCTCATATCAGTTGCCAAGATCTTGTCTCTAAATATATGAAAAAGGTTGATGAGCTTACCCACATTTCTGCCCTTGCGGTAGAGAATAAGGTACCTGAACCAGCTGTCTTATCCTGTACACACCTGATTTTGGGGCATCTCAGACAAGCTCAACTATCAACTTGGAGTAGCATCACTTGGACCTCTCACTCCCATACCAGCAGACAACAGACAGCTGGACTAACTGAGAGCATAAATGGGCTAGTGAAGAAGGTCCTTCTTCGAGAATAAGCTGGCTGCTGGACTCATTCTTGACCAACATCTGCTCCTGGTGTTGGCCCATATTAACAGCTACACACTGGGGCCTGCTACTCCTCATCTCCAAGGACTTGTTGTATTTTCAAACTTTCTGCCTTGTCCTTTACTCTGCCCTGCCTATCCCAATGTGGAACAACTGGATTTTGATGTTGCCACAGCTGTTGTTGCTGGCCCCAGGACAGGGGCCCTCAACTAATGTTTCCCCTTGTCTGTCCCCTTGGGGATGCTCCCCACAACTTTGGGCCACCCTCCCATGGACACAGCATCCCTTCAAAGGCTCCTTAACTCTCTTCCTCCAGTTAATGTTACTACCAGAATGAACGTGCTACTGGCCACCCTACACGATTCTACCTCCAGATATGGTGCCCACCACGTTGCTGCCATGCAAAGTCCTCTGAAAACCAACTCTGGAATCAACTCTTATTGAAAGCAAGCCAATTACTGGCAGCCACGGGAACACATTGAGCCTAAAATTCTTAGAAGCTCATTGCCTGACCTTTGTTTATCACAGTAAGTTAACATGGGCAAATAATATTTGGACCCGTAGATAGACATATCCTTGCTCTTGCTATTGACACCACTGCTTTTGCTTATTAGCATTTTTCCTTCTGAGCCTCCTCTTCTGTGGGCTGTGGAACAATTGTGATGATAACACTCTGCACAATGCTCAACATTGGGAACCTTTCTGTAGGGGCCTTCCACTTTGTGGTTTGGTTACTACTAATTTCACCTCATCTGCCACAAACCCCAGATCAGCAACTGCCTCCCCTGTGCCAATGAGTACCCTTTGGGTCATTACCACCAAAAATTCAATAACTGATCAGTGAAGACAAGGCTCTGCTCATCTTACTAAAATATCAGCATGATTACATCTCCACTCTTGAAAGTCGTACCCTGCCCTGTGCTCCCACTCCTACTATCAGGAAGCTCATGAGTTGTGTTCCCATATACTGTCCCAATTACCAACTCTCAAACACCATTGCCATGCTTCTGCACTGGGACCAATCAGACCTTCTGTAGATTCATCTCCCGAAGCCCCTTCCGGAGTGGCCTGACTTGGCAGTGTCCCCTTGTCGGCCCTGCACTGATAGAATTCTACTGTGTTACTTAGGAGAGTTTTGCCCAGATTGAACTGATCTTTTCACTTTGATTGTTTACCCTGTGGGGCCCCCACCACTGGGTTGGCAAAATGCTAACAATTACTAGTGGAGGAAGGCACTTGCTGCAATACAGACCTCACAGCACCATATCCCTGATGCCTGTGTCATTCTTGTGATACGTGGAAACTGGGACATCATGGTTACTTCTTTCCCTCCCCTCAGACTCTACCAGGTGAATGATGCTGTGGGCTAATAACACTGGTTGCTTAACCATATTTGGCCTCCCTGTGTCATGTGCCTTCATCTCTGCTTACAAAAATTCCACTTTCTTCCAACACACCAGCACATAGCAAAGATTCCCTTCTGATCAGCTTCCACAGACACTCCCTCATCTTTCTTCTTAGCTTTTATTCAGACTCTTCCAATGTTGTAGCAACTTTACAGGCAAAGAGCTTTTTCTACATTCATGCAGCTCGTAACCCCAGCTCAGGTCTTTCCCATCTGCAAGGAGCTGCTTCATGAACAATCACTTCTATGCCTTGTCCTCACAAATTCACTTCAGGGAGGTCACTACCAGTGTACCTCCACACTTATCCAGCATTGCCAGGTCCCTTGCTTTGTCACGTGCATGATGAATATTAAGCACAGACTTTCTACCTGTTGGAAGATACCTTTACTGCTATCATCCGTGCTGTGCCCAGGATGGTTGCACCGCTTGTCCTACTAACCCCAACTTCATCACTGCCTGGCAAGAATTTTACTGGTGTATTTGCCCAGTATTTTCTTGGACCACCTACAGCATCATTTCTATGGCCTGTATGCCTGTAAACACTTGGCATCTCAGTTGTACTTGGCAGTATTCTGGAATGGACAAGACCTGAAACTTTGGTTTGATTGGTCAATCTCCACAAGCAAGCTTTGCATCTGTGACATCACCTCCAGTGCATAGTGTTTCCAGACCTTACTATGAAGTTCTGAAACCACCTGGTCTTTGTGCTCCACACTGGTCTGCCATTTCTGTGCAGTCAAGACAACTCCAACCTGCTGCCATCAACCCTGTTCAACTTCTTTTGCCTTTCTATGTAATAGTGTTTTCCAAACCCTAGCATGCCTATTGCCTTTTGTTGCTTCAGGTGGCCAGATATTCCACATCCAATTGTGGCTTCTCCAGAACTTTTCACGAATGATCTTAGCACAGAAGCTCACAAAGCTATCCTTGCAAGAAGAGCTTAGATTCCCTTTATGACAGAAATACCTGGTAACTGACCTGGACTGAATACAGGTAAAAGAAAGGGGAAAGTGTTACCCAAACTCTGAAATTGGTCTCCAGACAGAGACTCTCCTGACAGTTAGTCATCTGAACCCCTGACTGTACCTGGCTTATGTTGCCGGTCTGCTCCTGCTATGCATCTTCTGGGTGCTGCCAGAATAAACTGCTTGAACACTAGATGGTATCTGAGATTCAACTTTGATGTGGATCAAACCTATAGGGAGAAGTTGCCTGGTAGACTAAAACCACCCAAAACCCCCAAACACAACTGTTTCTTAAATGTGAAGATATATTGACAGAGAATGTAAAAAAGTGGCAAGATTAAATGCTAACATGCAAGTCACATTATTTTTCCTTGCATGTGATTCTTCTATACCTGTTTTATGTCACTGTAAAATGATAGCATATGTCTAATTTAAATTGAAGAACCTTTGAGAATGCAAATATACTAAAACATGAGAATTCTTTCCTAGCTCATACCTGGTATAACATCATTTTCTAGTTCTTTCACAAAGAAATGAATGAATGGAAAATTAATTAACTTGTTAAGCTCTTATATGCATTAGTCAATTTGATTTTATTATTTAAAAATAGTTACTAATCTTAGGTGCTATTTTTCAAAATTTTATATATGAAATTTTGAATTAAGGGAGGTTTAGCAACTGGCCATTATCACATATTTAATAAATTGCAGATCTAAATGTCCTAAAAAGATAGACCAAAGATATCTGTTATATATATGAACCAATTAAAAGTTTCACTTTCAATAGTTATGGTGGGAAATAATATCTGGTCTTTAACTCATATAATAATAGTAAACATATAGAAATACTAGAAATTACTCATTCATTTAATTAAAACTTAACTATTTATTTTGCATTTTTTTTTAGAGACAGGGTTTTGCTCTGTCACTCAGGCTGGAGTGCAGTGACATGATCGTAGCTCACTGTACCCTCAAATTTCTGGACTCGAACAATTCTCCTACCTCAAGCCTCTCAAGTAGCTAGGACTATAGGTGTATGCCACCAGACTAGGCTAACCCTTCCCTCCCTCTCTTCCTTCCTTCCTCCCTTTCTCTCTCTTTCTCTCTCTCTCTCTTTTCTTTTCTTTTTTTTTTTTTTTCAGATGAATTCTGCCTATGTTGCCCAGGCTGATCTTGAATTACTAATCTGAAGCAACACTCCTGCCTCAGCCTTCCGAAGTGCTGGGATTCTATGTGTAAGCCGCCATGCTTGGCCTGCAAATATTTATTGAATACATAATTTTTGAAGTAATGAAAAACTGAAGTCCAAAGATTTTTCGTTGTGATTTAAAATAAGATTTAGAACTATTGTCATATCCCTATGGAAATGAAGCAAGTGAAGGAGTTTTGTATTATTGAGAGGTGACAGCGTGCTGGCAGTCCTCAGAGCCCTCGCTCGCTCTGGGCGCCTCCTCTGCCTGGGCTCCCACTTTGGAGGCACTTGAGGAGCCCTTCAGCCCACCACTGCACTGTGGGAGCCCCTTTCTCGGCTGGCCAAGGCCGGAGCCGGCTCCCTCAGCTTGCAGGGAGGTGTGGAGGGAGAGGCGTGAGCGGGAACCCGGGCTGCCCCAGGCGCTTGCTGGCCAGCTGGAGTTCCGGGTGGGCGTGGGCTTGGCCGGCCCCGCACCCGGAGCAGCCGGCCCGCCCTGCCGCCCCGGGCAATGAGGGGCTTAGCACCCAGGCCAGCAGCTGCGGAGGGTGTACTGGGTCCCCAAGCAGTGCCAGCCCACCGGCGCTGCACTTGATTTCACGCCGGTCCTTAGCTGCCTTCCCGCGGGGCAGGGCTTGGGACCTGCAGCCCGCCATGCCTGAGCCTCCCATCCCCTCCGTGGGCTCCTGTGCGGCCGGAGCCTCCCCGATGATCGCCGCCCCCTGCTCCACAGCGCCCAGTCCCATCAACCACCCAAGGGCTGAATTGTGCGGGCGCAGGGCACGGGACTGGCAGGCAGCTCCACCGGTAGCCCCGGTGCGGGATCCACTGGGTGAAGCCAGCTGGGCTCCTGAGTCTGGTGGGGACGTAGAGAACCTTTATGTCTAGCTCAGGGATTGTAAATTCACCAGTCGGCACTCTGTATCTAGCTCAAGGTTTGTAAACACACCAATCAGCACCCTGTGTCCAGCTCAGGGTTTGTAAATGCACCAATCGACACTCTGTATCTAGCTACTCTGGTGGGGCCTTGGAGAACCTTTGTGTCCACACTCTGTATCTAGCTAATCTGGTGGGGAAGGGGAGAACCTTTGTGTCTAGCTCAGGGCTTGTAAAAGCACCAATCAGTGCCCTGTCAAAACAGACCACTGGGCTCTACCAATCAGCAGGATGTGGATGGCGGGGGTTGGCGGGGGGCAGATAAGAGAATAAAAGCAGGCTGCCAGAGCCAGCAGTTGCAACCTGCTCAGGTCCCCTTCTACACTGTGGAAGCTTTGTTCTTTCGCTCTTTGCAATAAATCTTGCTACTGCTCACTCTTTGGGTCCACTCTGCTTTTATGAGCTGTAACACTCACCGCGAAGGTCTGCAGCTTCACTCCTGAAGCCAGTGAGACCACGAGCCCACCTGGAGGAAGGAACAACTCCAGAGGCCCTGCCTTAAGAGCTGTAACACTCACCGCGAAGGTCTGCAGCTTCACTCCTGAAGCCAGCGAGACCACGAGCCCACCTGGAGGAACAAACAACTCCAGAGGCGCCGCCTTAAGAGCTGTAACACTCACCGCGAAGGTCTGCAGCTTCACTCCTGAGCCAGCGAGACCACGAACCCACCAGAAGGAAGAAACTCCGAAAACATCTTAACATCAGAAGGAACAAATTCCAGACGCGCCATCTTAAGAGCTGTAACACTCACCGCGAGGGGCGTGGCTTCATGCTTGAAGTCAGTGAGACCAAGAACCCACCAATTCTGGACACATTATGACCTTTGTTTCCTGCCATGGAAGAAAATTTAAATTCCCAGGCTGAAGAAGCAAATTAGGCCTCTCAAGCAGAAACCAACAGGTAAGAAAATAATAATAATTAATAAATTTAGGGTCTTTTGTTCTTAAAATTTGTGTACTCAGGCATTGAGAATCTTTGGAACATGAGATAGGGAAAACTCATCCTTTTGTAAGAAAACCTTCAATCCTGAGGCCATAAATTTTAGCAGGAGAAGCACAGGATTAGCCTTCCGATCCTAACTCTCTTCATGGTATCACTTTAAGGAAATATCTTCAAAAATTATAGTGATTAGTTTTTATCACTGTGGGGATATTGATATTCATACCATGAAGTGATTTTTAATTAAATAAGAAAATAAATATAACAAAACTATTGTAGCCCTGACTTAAGTTTTATTTACTATAAACAGCAATAAATTTTATTGCCTGGAAATCAAACAAGTTTTAGATCTAGTGTTTGTGTTCCTGAAGTTTATCATATGATTTTTGAGAAACATTACTTTTTATATCTACAGATTAATGATATAGTATTGTATGTGATATACAAAAAGTGAGTGGTAGGATTAGTGAATACTGTAAGCATTTTTATGTAGCTGAGGTGTTCAAATAAGGCTTTGTACAGGGTGTTTTCTTTGCTCTTGTAGTAGTAGAAAGGGAGTTAATGCATAAATCAACTCAAAAAGTACTTTCAAAAAGGGGCATAAAATGTTTTCAGCAGGTGTATAGGGATCATGATAGAGAGAGATGCATGTAAACTTAGCAAGGTAATTCTAGAATATAGAACCTTTTGAAATATTTTGTTCAGGAATTTACACTGGTTCTTTCCATGCTTTTGAATAAGCCTGCTTTACATATTACACTGAAACAGGAACTTCATTATGGTTGAAACAAACAAAAAAAAAAGCTTTTTATCACCCAAGAATATCATTATACATAAAAAAGAATAGTTATACTTTCAAGTATTCTGTAATTCTATTTACCATTTAGATTCATGTTAAAGGCATACCATTTGCATTAGTAATGTCAGGAGTACATTTTATTGCTTTGGCATCCAAATGTATTAAAACAAAAATAATTCCTTTAGTAGATTAAAATAACAATGTTTTTGTAGGTACATTTTACTACAAAAATAGCAGTAAATTCAAAGAAAATAAAATGTTAATAAAAATAAGATTTTTAAGGATTTTTTTTCTTTTGAAAGAGGATCTTGCTCTGTTGCCCAGGAGTACAGTGGCAAGATCATGGCTCACTACAGCCTTGAACTGCTGGGCTCAAGCAGTTCTCCCAACTCAGTCTCCCAAGTAGCTGAGACAACAGGCATTCACCACCACAGTGGCTTTTAAAAAACTTTTTGTAGAGATGGAGTCTTGCTGTGTTGCTTAGGATAGTCTCAAACTCCTGGGCTCAAGTAATCCTCTCACCTTGGCCTCCCAAAGTGCTGGGATTATAGGTGTGAGCCACTGCATCTGGCTTAGTGTAAATTGTTTACAATAAAACACAACAAAACAATTTTGGTTAGTAGAAACAATTTGTTGTTATTTTTCACTGTAAATTTAGAACACAAAGATAAAATGCTGTAATTATTCAATTTAATATCATGAAATGACATGTCACACCTGTTAATAAACATTGTGATTGATAAAAAAGCAAATTCTTATTTTTTAAATCAACCAAAACTATTCCTTTGTTTTGCTGCCAGTATATGTTGAACCAGTTAAGATCCACTGCAGATGGCAACATACTATCACTCATTTATCTATTCATGACTTTATTTATTTGGACTAGAGAAATGAATTCAATCATGTGATTGACATCCTGATATGGTTATTTAGAAAGATTTTACTTTTTTACATAAAGAATAAAGATTAGATTGAATGCCAAGAAATCATCAAGGAGACTACTGCAACAATGAGTTAGCAGAAGAAAAGGGAAGGGGACATAGACATATAAAAAAGAAATAATAATGTGATTGAGTAATCCAATTAGATATAGGAGAGGAGAAAATTTGCTTATGTTTTCCAATATTCTCATATAAAATGTCAAATCATCACTCACTTATTTATAATCACCCCCTGTCCAATCTAAACTTAAACTTCCTAAGCTTTCCTCAATTCTTCATCTCATTCTCTTCTAATTTGTAATTGGAGTGAGTCAGTTCTATAAAGAAAACCCACTTTAGCAGTTTGAAGAAAAAAAAAGTAATTATAAAGAAAATCAGAGACTTGCACATGATCCTTCAAAGAAAATGCTAAAAATACTGAGTGAAAGTCCCATTGAGACTTTTCTGCTTCACCAACCTGACATGGGTGCCGTATTTTGCAGTACCCAAATCTTTTTCACCACTGCTCTCAAAAGCCAGAGCCCCCCACCGCCATTGCCAAATACCAGAATTCCCAGCAGTCTCTATGCCTTCATTCTTGACCTTTAAAAAATTGTAAATGATTAGTATCTGGGATAATGAATTCCTGACTTCTGTCTTGGAAAGCTGGACCTAATGTGACAAATACTCAACTTTAATAATGGGTTCTCAAATCAAATGACTCCAAGCAGCCAGCATGCATGGGAGAAATCCAGTTCAACACTCAATTCTGCTCATTCTTGATCAGTTACTATTTATTTGACTTTTCCAAGATGTTTTCTATCTACTTTTTCCAAACTGTGAAATAGCATTACTGATAATCAACTAAGAAAATCAATTTACATAAATAGATATGATGATATAATACCTGAATTAAACTATTACTGTGAAAGTTCCATTTACATTCCAAATAAATCAAATAATTTGACATAAAGTTACACATTTTGAAATTGACTTTGCACTTATTCAACATTAATTATGTATATGTATATTAATTTTCAATTTTTGATACGGTGGATTTCTCATTTGTTGTGTATGGGTGTGTAAGTGTCTGTCTGTATAAATGTGTGTATGTGTGTTTGGAAATAAGTGGATAGCTGCTCTTAAATAGACAAGGCTCTTGAGGATAGTGAAGTTGGTTTCTGTTTATTTTATATTTTCCGATAATACTTGTATAAGTCTCCTAGAATTGCCATAAGATATTACCACAAACTTGGTGGCTTAAAATAACAGAAAGGTATTCTCCCATAGCTTTGGAGACCAGAAGCCCCAAATCAAGCTATCAGCAGGGAAGTACTACCTCTGGAAGATGCAATGAAGAATGCTTTTTTCCCTCTTCTGGCTTCTGGCGGCTCTGTATTACTTGGCTTCCTTGGCTTGTGGCTACATCACTCCAATCTCTGTCTCAGTCTTCACATTGCCTTTTCCTCTATGTGGGTATCTTTTGTTACATCTTCTGCCACTTATAAGAACATTTTAGATTTAGGGCCTACCAGGTAATTCAGGATGTTCTGATCTCAAGATCTTTAATTATATCTGCATATATATTTTTTCAAATAAGGCTTTCAGGTTCACTGATGCTAGAGATTCAGATGTGGACCTGCCTTGTTGGGGGCTATGGATAAAACCACTAGAGTTTATAGAGCTATGGAGGATAATTTAAAATAATATTGAATGCCAAATTTTACCCTCACTTACTCATTTATCATTGATTCCATCAATCTCTCAGCAAATACAATAGAATATCCACTACGTATGTTCCAATCCTCAAGATAGGCACTGGTGAAATACAAAAGAACAGGCAAAAATTAATGTCTCTATAAAGCTCATAAGTTGATTACCTAAAAAGCGTATAATTTATAAAATATTTATTTTGCTTCTTGAAAACCGGAAGGAGTTTATAGGAATGAATGCAGGAGGAAATGACACCTGAGTTGAGCAGTAAGAGGTGAGTGGAATAGTGTGTATCTGGGATATGAAGAGAAAAGCAGTTAGTAAAAATTGACATGCAAATGTTTATGAACATTTTTTGTCTATTTTCTTCATTATTTCAATCCAGTACATTTAAGTATAGTAATAATTATGATAAATTTAATACATAGCTTGTACAATATTATGTTTATTGCCAATATATCAAATTTATTTTTCATTGAGTAGAAACTAGTAAAACACAGAGTGCAAAACTAAATCAAAGCCATTTGCAAAATAGTACTTGTAAAAACTGACCCAATTATTTTTAAATACCAGTATTTTTTATTTAAAAATGTATGATAATATTAGAAAGACAGACATTTCTGATCATATTATATTAAAACAGTAACTGAACAAATATTATTTATGTTGGAAATGATTTTCCTGAGCTCCCAATATGTTTAATTCATGTAAATGACACTAATAATAATTATATATAGTATTACTTCTCTGAGAAGAAAGATTTTGCAGATCTTTCACATGCTCTTTTGCTTAGATGACACTACACTCTCCTCAATGTTCAGAATTAAAATGTTGTTGGAATTTGGCACTACACTGAAAAATACGATTTTGACAAATGCCTCATGAAAAAGGATTTATTTACATATATTATAATATATATATATAATATAACGTAATAACACATCACGTGACATGTCAGAATGATCCAATTGCTGGAAGGGGATCACAATTCAAGGAACGTGTGCAGCCTCCAGAATTTAAAAAAGGCAAGAAGGCTGGGCACGATGGCTCATGCCTGTAACCCCAGCAGTTTGGGAGGCCGAGGCAGGTGGATCACAAGGTCAGGAGTTTGAGACCAGCCTGACCAACATGGTGAAACTTAGTCTCTACTGAAAATACAAAAATTAGCCAGGCGTGGTGGAGCATGCCTGTAATCCCAGCTACTCAGGAGGCTGAGACAGGAGAATTGCTTGAACCTGGGAAGCGGAGGTTGCAGTGAGCCAAGATCATGCCACTGCACTCCAGCCTGGGTGACAGAGCAAGAGAAAGAAAAAAGAACGAAGAAAGAAGAAAATAAAAAGAAAGAAAGAGAGAAAGAAAGAGAGAGAAAGAAGGAAGGAGGGGGAGAGAGAGAGAGGAAGGAAGGAAGGAAGGAAGCAAGCAAGCAAGGAAGAGGCAAGAGAGAGATTCACTCCTGGAACAGAAGAAACTGAAAGAAAATAGGTCTGGTGATACCTTGATTTTAGCCGTGTAAGACCCATTTTGGACTTCAGACCTCAATAACAATAAGATAATAAATTTTTGTGGTTATAAGCAACGAAGTCTGTTGTAATATGTTACAATAGCAACGGGAAACTAACACAGATTTTGGTCACTATGTGCTAGGTAATTTTGTCGCAGATCTTTTTCCTGTAGAAGACTGAACTAATTATTAGAGCCTGACTATCAAGGAATTATTGTATTAGTTGTTTAGTTTAGGAGTAGTTAACTCCTACGTTGCCGGTAGAGAAGCACTTGGGAAGTCATCAACCATGGCTCAATGATTTGGTATCTAAATATTTATAACCATATATTATTCCTCTTTCCTGTGTTCTTCTCTATTATAACCAAGTGCAAGTTTGGGTAGAGCCCTACTATGAATTGTTTCTGTAAATTTTGCCACCAACATAAATTTTAAAATGTATTGCTCATATTTTTTCCATCTTGCCATGGCATGATAGTGTGAAATAACTCAGTTATGTTATTTTCAAAATGAAATAGTAAAAACTAAAGATTATATTATGCTGTTGAGAGCAATATTCTTACTTGAGATTTGCAATATGTACTCTTGTCAGTGAAAGCATAAAATAACTATTTTGAGAAAATTTCTTGTGTGCTATGTATGTTACGGCTTAGTTCAGTATTTAGTTGCCTGTTACAAGTGGTCACAATGTAATAATAATTAAATGTTAATTTAATAGCAGCATTCTGAACTAGATTAATATGAAAAATGGTGAGCCATGAAAAGCATTTGGACTATAGCATTATTGAATATTTTTAAATGTTCTCTCCTATCCCCACTGAAATAATAATTTAGTTTTACACTTTGGTGGTTAGAGGCTTAATGCTATAAGAGTTCTGGCTAATATAAATTGCATAAATCACACAAAATGTCCCAGAACACAATGCTCTGTGGCTGACGAGAACTGTATTTTTAGGCATTTTTTAAAAAGAATCGAGTCCCAGGTATTTAATCAAAGAACATAGCCAACAATCTCTTGCTATCAAATTATATTACATGCATTATAGCTGCTGCTGCCATCAGTAAATTATCACTTTCTATAATGCATTTTAAATTTCATTTGACCTTGATAAGATAAAGATATTTTTTCCTGTTGAAATTAACATGCTGTTCACACCTTCACCTTTTGTCTTTCAAAAGTACTTGACAACACGATTGTATTTTGAAGAAATCTATGTTTTTAAATAGTCTGTGTCCTATGTGTTGATTGTAGACAATGATAAAGTGAAGACTGAATACCCATTTGTTAGGACAATTTTTCATTCAAGAGTTTCTTGTAAAAAATAATTTGTTCTTTATTTGTTTTCTCTTTCTAAATTTTTAGTATCAGGGATTCATTTTTGACTATAATCAACTCAATTATCCCTCCTTTTTAAAAGAAAGTAGAACTGCTCCTGCTACATACATTTTCTTTGCTGGGCCCAACATCTAATTAATTCCAGGAGAAAACCTCTTTTCATTAAGTAATAGCCTGTATGTGGCTGGCATATTTCTAAGCCTTTCTGCAGGGAGAAGGAAATAGAATAAGTTCCAAAGAACTGTCTGAATTTACAAGCACGCTGGGAAGAATCTGAGGCAAAAAGTAGATTGTACCCACCTGCAACAGGTGAGGCAGGCATTCTCCTTTCTGTGGCTCTACCTTAAATAAGCATTCATTAAGAATTCTTAATTCAAAAGAACAAATCTTCTTCTAACATACATGTGGTATTAGGTATTATTTAACAAGTACACAGCAGTGATGTTGCCCTAAAGGAAATACCATGCAGTGCTTGAGAACTCAGAAAATTCCTGTTTTCAACAGGAATTTTGAAAATGAGAAACAATAAATTAAATATGAAAAACAAAAAGTTATAAATGATATATTTAATGTCACAATTTTATACTCTTCTATCTTTAACTCTATCCATTATCACTCCTTTTACACATACTCTGAGATTATTTTCCTCATTTATTCAATTTCTGTAATTTATATCAAAATAAAACAATAGTACTTTTACATAACAATTTCCAAAGCACTTTTATATGTTATTTGTGACAATCCTTAAACTCTGGTAGAAGAATAAGTAAAAGAATTTCCTTATTCTGGCAAAAATATAAAAAATTCTGCTACATAAAGACATATGGTCAGAGAGTTAATATATTATTTATAAGTATAGTTAATAATTCATGGGTCTTATTTTTTTTTTGATAGATTTTATTTTTTATAGTAGTTTCAGGTTCATAGGAAAATTAAGTGAAAGGTACAGAGATTTCCCATATACCCCAGCCCCTATACATGCACCATCTCCCTCATTATCAATATCCCCCACCAGAGCAGTATGTTTGTTACAGTTGATGAACTTATATTGACACATCATCATCACCCAAAGTCCATAGTTTACATTAGGTTTCACTCTTGTCCTAGATTCTATGATTTGGGGCAAATGTAAAATACAGGTATCCACCATTACTGTATCATTCACAACAGTTTCACTGCCCTAAAGACCACCTGTGCTCTCCCTATTTATTCCTCCCTTCCCCAACCCCTGACAACCACTGATCTCTTTACTATCTCTTTGCTGTCGCCTTTCCAGAATGTCACATGGTTGAAATTATACAGCATATACCATCTTCCCATTGGCTTCTTTCACTTATTAATATACATTTGAGGCTTGATAGATTGACATTTTGGTGCTTGCAAGTTTTGGCAATCACGGTAGACATCCACATGCATGTTTTTGTGTGGACATAAGTTTTAAACTCCTTTGAATAAATACCAAAGAGCATGATTGATTAATCATACAGTAAGATTATGTTTAGCTTTCTAAGAAACTGCCAAACTGTCTTCAAAAGTGGTTGTACTATTTTGCATTTCCAAAAAATGAGAATTTTGATTGCTCCAGATCCTTCCCAGCATATGACATTGTCAAGTGTTTTGGATTTTGATCATTCTAAGTGGTAGTGCATTGTTTTAATTTGTAATTCCCCAATTATGTATGATGTAGAATCTTTTTATTTTTAGCAATGTGGTTTCCATTTCCTCTTCTTGAATACTTTTTTTTTTAATTTGAGGAAGATTGATTGTACTTTCAGTCATTATGCCCTCACCATGATTGGCCAATCTAATACTCTTTCTCTGAATTTTGAAACCTTAACAGCATTATTCAAATAAAGGAAATGTTTGATGCTCAATCATACGTTTGGCAGCATCTGGAAGAAACTGGACACTACAATCCTGTATTCTGGAGGAACTCTGGTCCCTGTGTTACCTGCATCTCCTTCTTTATTTTTTCTCTCAATTTTGTGAGCTCCTCTATGTTCTTCCCAGTAATTTATTTATTGCTTAAGTTAATAAAGGTCTCTTTCCCATGCTCACATTTAAAAAAACTTAAATAGTAAGGGATAGTCAAATAATTTGATAGTGGAAAAGATAATGTCACAGGATCTTTGGGGTGTCACTTTTCTGGCCAGAAACCTCTGTGGCTGGTGGCACCTTTACCGGAGTTTTTGTCCTGTGTCCAGGAAGAATAAGGTACTCAGTCAAGTGGAGGGTGAGTGAGAAGAGGAGCTTTATTGTGTATTAGAACTGTTCAGAGGAGACCTGTAGTGGGTAGCTCCTCTCTGTAGGCAGGTTGTCTCATTGAGGGTTCAGCTCTTGGCAGAGAGGAGGCCCTGGAGTGGGTGGCTCCTCTCTGCAGCTGGTAGTCCCAACATCTCTGCAGATCTCTGAAGTTCTCTGCAGGAGCTACCCTCTCTGCAGCTGGTTGTCCCATCTGCTCAGCTCTGGCTGAGTCTGGGGCTTTTATGGGCCTCCAAGAGGGGGAAGAAGGGCATGCTGATTGGTCCATGGGTCAAGAAAAGGCACCACAAATTCCCACACAAGTTTATGGGACTAGCAGCCCAGCCCCCAGCTTTCAGCCCCTCCCTGCCCTGAAGGTGGGGCCTCACCAGGACATGCCCCCTTCCACCCAGGAATCTGTCTGCCACCTGCTGCCACTCATGGCACTTAGAGTTGGTCCTGAATTTGCCCTGAGATCAGAGCAGATACCAACAGCAGGGAGAAGTCAGGCAGCAGGAGCAGGAACTTCAGAGCCTATGAGAACAGGGCGGCCTTCCTGGGCCCCCAAGAGTGCAGTGATGCCTGAGTTTGCAGCTGCAGTTTGGGCAGCTGCTGTTGTGTCCAGGAGGCAGGGCTCCTAACTGCTCCCAGCCCCTTAAGAGCACAGGGAGGCTCTGATCTACAGTCACAATTTGGGCAGCTGTAGCCCCACTATGAAGGGGAGGCTCCTGCCTGTGTCATGGAGTGTGCAGCCCTGCCCACGCCTCCCTGCTGCAGCTGGCGTGATGGTAGTGGCAGGTCAACTGGAGCTGCTGCTGCCATCAATAGGACTAGAAGACAGATTTTCAGACACCACTTCCACTTTGCTGAGACAACTTATGCAAATACTTAGCACAAATTTTGAAATCTGTTAAATGCTCAATAAAAAAATCCCTTAATACATACCCACACATATATCAATATTGCAATCAATAGTAAAATAAAATATAGATTTGAAAATGTGTTTTCTTCTTTCAGTGTATCACAAACTCATGAAAAATTTCATAGATGTCTCAGAAGAAGCAGTGAAAAATATTGGTTCTGAGAAGCAATCATCAGCCAGTAAGTTTGTATGTCATTTGGTGCCAAACAACCTTAGGTCTTGTCCCAGTTTTATATGATTTTGACCATTCATTTAGTGTATTTAATTTCCACTATCACTTTTTACAATGGGATTATTGATTCTACTTATTTTATATGTCTGCTTTATTATTAAATATCTGACCTAAGGTCTCTAAGTGCATAATCACATTCAATGTTCACAATATTCTATGGACTTTCTAGGCTCCCACATTAAGTGATACAATGCATGTAAAATACTTACATAATACCTGAAAAATAGAAATTATCCAAAAATATTACTACTAATATTATGGAAGTTATCATGTTTATGAGGAAAATATTCATCAAATTATGAACCAAATGAATGGTTTATAAAATAAAGGAATGATCCAGTGTCTGGTAGGCATATAGTAGACACCCTTTACTGGCTGATTCAATAAAAAATGAGATTTGCAATTATGGTTTTATTTTATAGTTTCATCCTCAAGCAAACTTTATTCAAGAAAGAATAACCATTTCAGCTTGTCTAAATATCAGCTCACCTTTTCACATTGTTTACCTTAATGACAAAAGAACCCTGAGAACACTGAAAATTTTTCCCGGAAAAGACGTCAGTGCCAGATATCTGCAATTAAATACTGATAATTTCACTGGCAGTTCAAGCAGTTTAATGAAGTTTTAGATATCAAAATAACTCACAAGTGAGCATGTGTTTCAAAGCCAGGACCCTAGGAACAGCAATCCTGGCTTGAAATTCCACCTCCTTGTAAATTCTGGATATTAGACCTTTGTCAGATGGGTAGATTGCAAAAACTTTCTTCCATTCTGTAGGTTGCCTGTTAACTCTGATGATAGTTTCTTTTGCTGTGCAGAAGCTCTTTAGTTTAATTAGATCCTATTTGTCAATTTTGGCTTTTGTTGCAATTGTTTTTGGTGTTTTTGTCATGAAGTCTTTGCCCATGCCTGTGTCCTAAACGGTATTGCCTAGGTTTTCTTCTGGGGTTTTTACAATTTTGGGTTTTACATTTAAGTCTTTAATCCATCTTGAGTTAATTTTTGTATAAGGCATATGGAAGGGGTCCAGTTTCAGTTTTCTGCATATGGCTAGCCAGTTTTCCCAGCACTATTTACTGAATAGGATATCCTTTCCCCATTGCTTGTTTGTTGAAGATCATATGGTTGTAGATGTGTAGTGTTATTTCTGAGTTCTCTGTTCTGCTCTATTGGTCTATATGCCTGTTTTGATACCAGTACTGGGATGTTTTGGTTACTTTAGCCTTGCAGTCAGGTAGCATGATGCCTCCAGCTTTGTTCTTTTTGCTTGGGATTACTGGGTATATACACAAAGGAATATAACTCATTCTACTATAAAGACACATGCACGTGTATGTTTATTGCATCACTATTTACAATAGCAAAGACATGGAACCAAACCAAATACCCATCAATGATAGACTGAATAAGAAAAATGTGGTACATATACAAATGGAATACTATGCTGCCATAAAGGAATGAGGTTATGTCCTTTGCAGGGACATAGATGAAGCTAGAAGCCAGCATCCTCAGCAAACTAACACAGGAACAGAAAACCAAACATTACATGTTCTCACTCATAAGTGGGAGTGAAACAGTGAGAACACATGGACTCAGGGAGGGGAACAACATACACTAGGGCCTGCTGGGGGGTGGTGGGGGAACTTAGAGGATGGGTCAATAGGTGCAGCATACCACTATGGCACACATATACCTATGTAACAGACCTGCACATTCTTCACATGTATCCCATTTTTTAAAGAAGAAATAAAAAAAATTAAAAATTCCATCTCCATCATGTATTAATTTATTAACTGTCAGCTTGAGTAAGTCACTTTTCCTTTCTTGACCCTCATTACCAAAGCATCATTTTTTTGGTTTTCTCAACATAAACTCTCCAACTTACCACCTACATCTCTTGACACTTATTCTCTACATACTAACCATTTCCTTGCAAACTTGAAATAGAGGAAATCCACTTAATGAGTATAGATATTCTTTTTAAATCAAATCAATAACCTTCCCTTAATTAACCAAATTCATAAACATGTGCTCAGTTGTCATATACACATGCATAAATCTCAAATGTATACGAACTGCCCAAATCCTATCTTTTATTTTTGAGACAGAAAAAAATATCAGTGTATCGTCATAGATTCACAGCATTCTGTTACTCAAATCTGCCTGCAGAGGACTATGAAGTCAGAATTAATTTAGGCAAAATTGAGTAATTTTCTCATAGAAGGTAATACTGTTTCAACCAGCCTCTTGCTTTGTCGCCCAAGCTGGAGTGCAATAGCGCAAACTCGGCTCACTGCAACCTCTACCTCCCAGGTTCAAGCAATTCTCCTGCCTCAGCCTCCCAAGTAGCTTGGATTACAGGCACCCACCACCACATTCAGCTAATTTTTTGTACTTTTATCAGAGATGGGGTTTTGCCATGTTGGCCAGGCTGTTCTAGAACTCCTGACCTCAGGTGATCCAGCAGCCTTGGCCTCCCAAAGTGCTGGGATTACAGGCCTGAGCCACCATGCCCAGCCTCAAATCCTATATTTGAGGCTCACTCTCCAGTATCTAATTGCCTCCTAAAAATAGTCACCAGTTTCTTAAACTTGCAATACAAATCAGCGTGCCTAAAATTATAATATTCTCTTCCCAAATATAGATTTTCCCTACCATTTATTCACTCTCCACATTTCAGCCAGAGCAAATTTTTAAAGTTTAAATCTGAAAAAGTCTTTTGATATCTGTCGTTGCTTAGCCAATTGACCACATATAATTGAAATGTAAAGTACTAGTGTTCCCAGGAAGAAGAACAAACAAATACTCAGTGTCTGCCACATTATTACCAGCACACATTATTTACAATAAGGTATGGCACTTTTTGAATGCCTGCCAAATACTGAACATGTTGCTATGAGATTTGCTTGTACAGTACAGTTCACATTTGTTTGCTTGTGGTAGGAGAATCATTAGAATAGTCACCTTGGTTGTTTTAGGAAGTCTAGTAATAATAGTGTCTAGAAATGGTAATGTTTAAGAACTTATGAAGGTAGCCAGAGAGCTTATTTATCCAATGTGGTGAAGGGAATCAGAAGTTTGGGTTGGAATAGTTGTAAAGATGTTTCTCAAGCTTTGGGATATAGGAGCCATGGAGGCAAGAGGTGAGTGGGTCTGAGTACATGTGGAAAAAGACAATAAACATGGTTGACTTTTTTCAGTTTGTATCAAGTTGAGTAGAACTATATGAGTTCCTTAGTCTTTCAGATGTCAGTGGTTGAAACAGTATTTCCTTCTATTAGAAAATTACTGAATTTTGCCTAAACTCATTCTGACTTCATAGTCTTCTGCAGGCAGATTTGAGCAACAGAAAGTTATGAATCCATGATGATTCATTGAGATTGTTCTTTTTAATATTTGTTTTTTAAGATCTTGTCTATGGATTATCAGTGCTCTGGGGCCAAGGTGGGCAGAATTCAGAAAAATGGCTACATATTGAACAAAAAACTAAACATTAAGAGCTTCGGTCTAGGAAATGAAGATGCTGGTGATGACAAAGCCAACTCATGATAACATACTCTTTGCAATCATTCTCCCACTTTGTTACTCTCCTTCAAAGCTTAGCCCAGAAATCACCTATTCACTAATTCAATCTATTGCTATCAGACTTTTGGCTTCCCCCCATCACTTTCATATCAGTAAAACTGACCTTGTCAGAGTCATTGAGAGTCTCCAGATGTTCCTCTATGGCAGTGGAATTCTAAACCTTGGACCCCTTTCCCATTCCAGAAACTCCTTCTTAGTATCATATGCCCTTGATTTTCATCTTACCTCTCTGATGTACCCTTTACAGCTTTCCTCCAGGTTCTTCTCTCCCATCTATTCTGTAAATGTCAGAGATGCTAATATTTTGTCTTTCTTCATTTTCCTTGTATTCTCTTCTCTCATTTACTAGCTCTGAAAATTAGCCTTGTGGGGTCTTTGCTTGTTCGTCTAAAAAAAATATAGGGAGATAGGAAATATTTAATCTATAGAATTTCTGTGAAAATTAAATGGGTTAATACATCTAGAGCTTTTAGAACAGTTTCTGGCAAATGTGAAGCATTCATAAAATGTTTGGCTATTTGATTTTTAGCAGTCAATAGATAGTTTCTCTACTTACATAAAATTTGTTGTAAAGATGTCATAGGAATAGCTGATTGCTTAAAATTATTAAACTATTTTGCATCTGCTGAAGTGGCATATATATGTACATATGTAGAAATAAAATTAGGTCTGAGATGATGTGTTAGTATTCATAATACTTGTCTATTTTACAATATTTATCAAGTAGAACTGAACCATAATAGTTCATGGGTCACTCTTATTTGTTGAAGTTGTGTCTCTAGAAGAAAACATTCAATTTTGCCTGAATTTAGTTTGTCTCATAGTTCCTCTGCAGGTAGATCTGAATGACAGCATATCATTAATATTTATTACTATGTTGTCATTATTTTCTTTTAATATTTGTCATTTTCGAGTTTGCCTATGGGCATTCTTTTTCTATCTGTATTGATTTTTGAATCTATTCACTATATTAGTCTACTTAGATTTATTTTTCTCTCTATACCAAATTTAAATCATCTAATCTAAGCCCCTATTATAAAATTTCAGTACCTCACCAAAATATTTATTAATATGTATTTTCCCTTTAAAAATATTTTAACTGCACATGTATTCTATAAATATAAGTGTTGAAGCTTATTTTAAAAGACTAAGATATCAAAATACCTAATGCCATTCTTCTTCCCATAGGTAAACCTCCTTCCCCATTTGCTTTGCATTTTGGAGCCCTTAAAACATATATAAAACTTTCTATATTTAACTGTTATTTTGTTCACAATAATGGAATCATGGAGTATGTTTTGGTTTGCAACTTTATTTTTTATTTAATAATTTAACATATTTCTATGTGACAAAAATGTATTTAATAGTTTAAAAATACTTATCTCAAATTTTAAATTAAAACTGTTTTATTTTACATACTTCTGAAATATCTTAACACTGCTATATCTAATATTTAAACAAGCCCCTCAGATCATTTTGAGTCTGTGTGGTGCATCACTGGTGTGAACAATTAAGGGGATTTGTTGGCTCATCTAGCTGGACATTTCTGGTGAGATCATGTATGGTACCGTAAGAATCCCAGCTTTATTTCTTTGAAGAACTTTGAAACTCTCAGCTTTGATATGATCTGTGTGTCAGCTTTATTCTCAGACTAATAACAGGGTTTTCAGACAGTCCATGTCTTGCTGATATACACAACATTTGTGAAAGCAAATCTTTTTTCCTGTGGCTCTCATTTAAGGTTAATGAATATTCTTTACCGGAAGGCTTTGGCAATTTTCCCTTTCTGTCTTATAGAACCGAATTACTAAACTTTCTCCCCCTTACCTTTCTAACTTAAACTTAAACCTTTTTCTATGCTGAGAATCTTTCTTCACATCTCTCCTCTATGCCATTTAGGTTACCCAAGCTCAGATCAAAGTGATGTTTCAGAATTTCTTTCAATTCCCATCTTTGATAACTCTGTGTTTTTACAAGTTTTTCTCTTGCTTGCATTGCCTTTTCTTTTCTCATGTCAAATGCATATTTGTTCTTAGCATCCATTTGTTCCACAGCACTCCAGAGAGGATTTCTACCTTTCTTCTCTACCTTCCACCCTATTCAACAACTACTAAAGCACTAATCATGTTTAATTCTAACAATTTAATTAGATATATTTGACATTAGATTGTAGATTTCTCAGTGACCAGGGTAAAGGACTCTCTGTTGATGCATCTCAGAGTTCCAGTATAACATCATCTCAATACAGAGTTCTCAGTAAATATTTGTTAGAAGAAAAGATAGCTTTAAGCTTAATAGTAATGCATTATAATTTTTTGAACTAGTTCTCTCATACAGAACATTTATTGCCAATATCAGACATAACAACTAACAAAACAGAGACTGACATCAGCCCATGTCGCTCATGATCTTGGTTGAGGGAAGCTTGAGAGCAATATTCCCAACAGTGGGGAATTTCCCTGAACTACCCCTCAAAAAAATGTTCACAAAGCTTTAGTGGCTTCTGGTAAAAGCCATGGATTCTTGGCTATATAACCTTTCCCCTGTAAATGTGAAAAAGATAGTTCTGTCCTGAGCCACACTGCAAGCTTTCATGAAGCACAGCATCCCCATTGGAAGACCCCATTACTCTTTCTGTTGTCCCTTGAAATGACCATGGGGGAAGCAATGGAGAAGCTCTACAGAAATGGTTCATATTGGGATGCAAATGGCAGATGGTTTCAGTGATTTCCTGTGATTCAGGCCTGGGTGAATGGAAACCCAACATGGTAGTGGTAACAATGCCAAAGAACCAACAGGGGACCTCAATGGGTGACAAGAGGAAAAATCACACAAACAAACAAAAAACCAAAGGGAATAAGGCCAGCCTGCAGAGTAATGTGACTTTGCTTGTTAAGACAAGGGGTAGTAAAAATAAAAGTCCATGGGACAAAAAATAAAAATAAAAATGAAAAGTCTGCCAACACTCTAAGGAGGCAGAGAGTGTGTTCCCCCAATTTGGAGGGTAAGGCCCTCAGTTAAGCTAAAGAAAAAGAGGAGAGGAAGACCCACATCAGATTTAGTTAGAATCCTGCATGGTAGCTCTCAGAGTCCCTGAACATGTTTTGTGAACAGGGGTGCATGGGGTTTTAAGGCTTTCTGATGCCCCAACCAAGTCAATGAGGAATATGATCCCAATTCAGTGCAATGAATCAGACAAGGAAGATGTGATCCCCTTTGCATGTATCTTGACTTCACGCCCTCAAAAAGAATGATTAGGAATGAGACCAAGGTCTCTGAGTCTCTGCTGGGGCCTAATGGACTTACATGCCTGACAAATTAAAAGAAAAAAAGAGAGAATTCAAACTTCTTTGTGGCTCATGGATACTGGTGATCAAATCATAATAGGCAGAGGTCTCCACAGGGGTAGGGCTAAGCTTATGAAAGTAGGAGGTTTGGGGACAAACACAGTGATGCATAGCTAACATAGCTCACATGCAGGTTCACGTGTGCTTACAAATGGGGTTCTTGGGCCATTTGGGGCAACAGTAATCATGGTTCACGCAATTGAGTGCATTATAGGCATTTTGGCTGCTTGTGGCACAAAACATCACTGTTGCCTCGGGGGATATGTCCCTTCATTACACAAGATTCAAGCCATAACAGAGTGGTGCATTCACCCTTACTGGTCACCTAAGTTACCCAAGCCCAAGTCCTGAAGGATTATTCAACAAAAGCAGTGCAGCATACCAGGCACAGAGCATTGCCCTGTTGATATAGGACTTGCTCCAGACAAGAATGTTAGACACCAACCTGTTGCAGTTAGCAGCCAGTCCATCCTGTAAAAAAAAGTCTCAAAAGCCTGGAGGCTAACTACCACAGATTGAATGCCAAGATGCCACCCTCGGTACCTGACATTATTGTTATCCCCAAAGTACTGGTAGCCCACAGGGGAAACTGGCATGCTGTTATAGATCTCACTAATGCTTTCTTCTCCATCTCTTTGTGTGATAAAGATTACATGCAACAGCTTACAGCATATTTTACTTCTCCAGGGTTACCTCAGTTTCCCTGTAATGTGCCACTAGTGGGTAGGGTTAGTTCTTCAGCAAGCCAAATTATTCCTAGAAGTTCTTGTCATCCACTATGCTGATGGCATCATCATTGATGGCCTGACTTAAAAACAAGATAACCAGATCCTACGTAAGGTCACAGACACTAGAACACAGACAGGCAGGGCCATCAACCCTAATAAAATATGGGGTCATGCTCAACAAATGTAGCTCTTGAGAGCCACTCAGGATGATAATCAGAGATGTTGGATAAAATTATTAAGGTAATTTTATTTCTAATTAAATCAAACAAAAATTGCTGACCATAGCGACTCCTACTAATAAGAAAGAAGTTCAACAGCTGATAGGCCTATTTAGTTATTGCAGACAACATGTACCACATCTGGATACTCTTGACCTTCATGCAAGGTGACCTGCAAGGTGGCCACCTTTACATAGGAACCCCAACAACAATAGACTCTGGAAACCATGCAAAATGCAGTGACACAGGCCCTACCATTGGGCTGATGGAGCCCACTAATTCTATGGAGCTATAGGTCTCTGTGACAACTACTCATGAAGATTGGAGCCTATGACAACAATAGATTGTTACTGGGGTACATCAGCCCCTCAAATTTTAGACAAGCAAAGTACCCAAGGCATCATCCACCAGATACACCCCCCTTCAAACAGAAACTCCTAACCTGCTGTTGTGCTTTAATAGAAACAAAGCAACTGACCACTGCAGCATTGCAGGTAATCTTAAAACCTGAGCTGCCATGCTGGGCGTGATGGCTCCCGCCTGTAAACCCAGCACTTTGGGAGGCCAAGGCCGGCAGATCACAAGGTCAAGAGATCGAGACCATCTTGGCCAACATGGTGAAACCCTGTCTGTACTAAAAATACAAAAATTAGCTGGGCATGGTGGTGCACGCCTGTAGTCCCAACTACTACAAGAGGGATGGGAGGCTGAGGTGGGATAATCACTTGAACCCGGGAGGCGGAGTTTGCAGTGAGCCGAGATCACGCTACTGCACTCCAGCCTGGCGGCAAAGCAAGACTACATCTCAAAAACAAAACAAAAAACAAAAAACCTGAGATGCCTATCTTCATACAGATTTTCATGAATCCTACTGATACAATAATAAAATAAAATAAAATAAAATAAAATAAAATAAAATAAAATAAAATAAAATAAAATAAGGGCACACTCACCAAAGCTCCATTATTAAATAAAAATGATACCTCCAAGAAGGATTCAGATCAGGGTCCCAGGAAGTCAACCTACTCCAGGTATAAGTAACTAACTGCCTTGCCAGAGGGAGCTAAACAGCTCATAGGGGATGTTACTGCACCTGCCTTAACTAAGGGGGGCTCTTGATTCAAAGATGTTCCAGCTCATGGTATGGCTCAGTTGATTAATAGATCTGCAAATTCAAAGCTCATGGAGTCCCATAGGGCACTGCTGCCATCTGTCCAAAGGATGGCCACCTTTGAATTGAAACCAGACAAGGACACTATATGAAATGGATGGAACTCCCAGTAGTAACGAGGGCCTTGCAGGCCACTCCAACAGCAACTCTGCTACATATTTACAAACTCATGGGCTATTACAAACAGGCTAACTGTATGGTCCACTGACTTGCAAATAAATGATTAAACATTAAGGGCCCCCCTGTGTAGGGACAGGGACAGTGACAGCAGCTTACAAACAAGACAAAACAAAAACAAAACTATTTATCACTCATGTTGGTGCCTGTGACACAGGACCATTCAAAAGGGAACAAAATGAAACTCACAAGCTGATCTAGCATGCACTTACCAAATCACCACAATTGTTGTTCCCCCAGGGGCAGAAACATCCCGCATGCACTCTTAGCCCCCTCTGGCAAGGCAGGTGTTAAGTCTATGACAGAGTGGAACATAAAAAATTCACCTCAGGTGCAAAAATGGACAAGATTATGAGAATTTACCCTTTAAAAAAGGCAAAAATAAGATAGAATTGTGTAATATCTTTCAGTAACCCCTGGCCTTGCAATATGGAAAACTGGGCTAAATTAACCAAGACATAGGCCTCACATGAGTGTGGAATATTAACGACTTAGGACCCCTTGTTTTCAGTCATGGATTCTGATACATTGCCATGGTACATATTCCAAACAGGAGACTGCCTTTCTAGTGTGCCATGTAAACATAAGTGCCACTGTTGTAACCTTCAGAAAACACCTCTGCCATATTTTTAGATATCCAGAAGGATTTTAATTCACTGAAGGTACCACATTCACTGCACAAACCACACAATAACTGACACAGTCCCACCACATAAGACAAATGTTTTGTACTCTCTGGGCAAACGGGGCAGTAGAGCAATTGGATGGGTGGTGTAAACCATGAACACACAAAGGCCATCAAAAGGTCAACTAACTGGGTCATACTCTCCTTTAACAAAAGCCATTTGGACACTAAATACTGATGCAGGATATTTCCCAGACCCCTTCATGGGACTTGAGACAGTGGTGCCCCATTTACTCAGCCTGCCACTCTCAACTCCTCTTTGGAGGGAGTGCGTGAGCAAATGAGGCAGGACTGGAGTGCACAAGTGCTGGAACCAGCTGGCTGCTTTGGCGCCAGGAGGAGTAAACTCCATGCACTGGACCCACTGTGTTCCAACCCTCGTGGGAGGGAGCACCCAGGTAAGTGGATGCAGGAGCTAGGGCAAGCACTTTTCAGTGCTGGCAGGAGCAAATTCCATGCAAACCCCAAGGCAGCATCAAAGAGTGTATGCCTGTGACCTATGAAGCCAAAGAGTGTGTTACAGTACTCTTTTAGCTCTGCTGTCCACAGACGGCTTAAGTATTAACAGCTTAGTGGGCCCTCTGCCTCTTTGCATGAGGCAGCTGCCTTCCACCAGTGAGGGCAAAAGGACAGTGTGCCAGCTTTTTGTATCCACACTCGTGGATCCCAAGCTCTTGTCCCTCATCCAGGAAAAAAAAATGAGGGTGCATGAATGAATTGAAGGATGCTAAATGTGGTGGATTTTATTGCTGATGAAAGTGGCTGTCAGTGGAAAGGAGAGCTGAAAAGGGGATGGGAGGAGGGTAGGTAAACTTCCTCTGGAGTGCAGCCATCTCCAGCCGGATTCTTCTCTAAAGTTATGCCATCAAGCCATCCCTCTGAAGTCAAGCTGCTCTCTCTGATGTCAGCCATAGTCCCCAACACCCAGCTGCTGCTTTTCTCTGCTAGCTGAGTCGGGGGTCTTTATAGGCACAGGATGGGGTGGGGCAGAGACATGGGTGGTTTAGGAAAACGCAACATTCAAGAGAGAAAACAGGAATATAAGTTTTTACTTTGGGCCATGGTCTCAGGTTTTTTGGCTTGAAGGTGGGGCTTTGCCAGGGACCTGCCCCTGTCTGCCTAGAGTTTCTCTTCCTCCAGTCCCTATCAATACTACATTCCAGCATTTAAAAAAAAAAATGGCACTACAATCCATGTTAAAAATGTTGAACTTTGGGGAGGGAAGTGAAGGACCAGGAAGTTGCCTAATTAGGCTGTTGTTTCAAAATCCCAACCGTGATATACCCAAGAGTTTTCCCCACTCTGAAATGCACCCTGCAGTGCTGGTTTGTGTTCTAGGCCACAATGGCAACACTACAGGAGCCTCCTTTTTCAAACCTGTAGGCAAGGCTATCTTTGGGCACCTCTCCATTGTGGGATTCCCCATAGGGAAGGGGGAAGAGGGGACAGAATATCAAGGTACTAGGGTTCCTCTGGTTGTGCCTGGGACTCCCAGCACCCCCGCCCCCACCCATAAAGATAGGAAATATTATAGAACATGCCAAATTTGTTTAGGGTGTGACCTCCTTCCCTAAGTTGGTTGACTGGTGCCTATGGGTCAAGTAACAAGGGCAGTGGATCTCTACAAAGACTGGAGCCTCAGGATATGAACAAACAGCCTAGTCAGCTAAATCCAGGTAATCCTTACCGCAGGTTATTGGATAAGATCATCCCTGGCCTCAGAAGGAAGTTGGGAGAATTAATCATTCCTCTTCTTATTCCTGCAGAAGCCACTGCCTTGCCTGACATTATAACACAAATGAAAATAAGCATAGCCACGGTGAGAGGAGGAGAGTTCAAACAACACTGGATTTCTCACCCCAGGCTGAACATCTTTCTTAATCCATTTTGTGCCCTGGTAGATACACAAGGACTTGGATCACCTACAAGCTGGGTTAAAATGCCAAGTGACTCCATTGCTATACGTCCAGGTGCAGACACATTCTTGAGTCCCTTGCTTTAATATGACTTAAGATATGGGCCAGGCATGGTGGCTCACGCCTGTAATTCCAGCGCTTTGGGAGGCCCAGGTGGGCAGATCACCAGGTCAGGAGATAGAGACCATGTGGAACCCCATCTCTACTAAAAATGCAAAAAAATTAGCCAGGCGTGGTGACAGGCGCCTGTAGTCCCAGCTACTACGGAGGCTGAGGCAGGAGAGTGGCGTGAACCTGGGAGGCAGAGCTTGCAGTGAGCCGAGATTGTGCCACTGCACTCCAGCCTGGGCGACAGAGCGAGAATCCATCTCAAAAAGAAAAAAAAGATATGACAGGAAAGAATCCCTAGGCTGGAACACACATTACTGATCTATGTTGGCATTTCAGGCTTGGATGTGCCTTTTTTTCTTTCCCTGCTACCACATAGCAAAACGAACTGAGACTGTATATAACGAGTCTACACAGGATAATCACAAATCCCTGATGGGGGTCACCTGCACCCCTCCGGGTTATGGATTTCTCTGTGGACCTTAGTGGGCAACAGAGTGTTTGCCCTTGGGCAAAGAATCTTATTGCCTTTGAGCCCTAGGGCCCATAGTTCATGTTAAAAAATTACATAAAGGGCTTGAGAGGGGGTGCAATTGGGATCCACTTTGCTAACCCACCACTGACTGGTTTATAACGTCCTCCTGGTAGTACAAACTCACAGCTGGTTTTATTTTGCTGCTCCTATTTTAATACCAGACATAGGTGTACAAGCTGTAGGACAAATGGTATACAATCTGTCCTTAATCATGGTGGAAATAGCTAATAATCCTACTTAGTCCATACAAGATCAACAAAACCCAATAAACTCACTAGTCAATGTGGTAATGGACAATTGAACAGGCCTCATTGTCTGCTAGCAGAACAGGTTGGCATTTGTGCTTTTACCAACACCCTTTGCTGTGTAAATATCAATAGTTTAGAGAAGGTAGAAACTGAGCTGGAGGAGATCCATGCTCAGGCTGGAGATCATCAGCTGTACACCCCTCCTACCTGTGAAGCTCATTTTGTGATCTATTTAATTGCTTTAATTCAGGCACTTGGGGTTCCTGGTTAAGAATTATCTGCCAGGGAGGCCTCATCATCCTCCTGGGTCTGGTTCTCCTAGTGACCCTGATGTCTCAAAATGACAGAGGGTCTGTGAGGAAACTGCATCTATAAAGTGTTGTTCAGGGGTTCACTGGACACAACTCTCCTTACAAATTTGGGGACAAGAGGTGGCCCTACCAAATTTTATGTACTTTATCTGCTATTTCAGTAGCCAATCCAGGGCCAAAAGTGTTTTTTTGGGGATTGACAGTCACACATGGCCTGACAACCTTTACAAGGTTTCATAGAAGTGAGCCTCAGGCCCAGAGAAAACATTTCCTTACATGGAGATAAAGAGGCCTCGCAGGCTGTGCTGAATGTATCATCTTTTGGGGGCATGTCTTTCCATGATCTGGGCTTGATGTACACTTTTTTGTTTTGGTAAAACATGTGCATGATACAGCACCTGGCCCATCCCACTGCTATTACTATTTCTTATGGGGAGAGAAATAGATATTTTACCTGCAGTACATGAAGTTTGTGGAGAAGAGGCAATAGCCATGGGGGACCGAGGCTTACTATGAAGGCTAAACCTGCTCTGTCTCTTGCTAAATGAGTAAAACGTTCCATCCAATGTCTGGGTAATTTGTGCCTCTCTTCGTAACCCTGACACCTGCAAACAACGTAGTGAGTTTACATGCTGGGATCACTGGTCCTGGTGGTAGACATTGTTACATTCTTTGCTTTTTGGCTATCCTTCACGCAATAACATTCCTCCCCTGGAGGTGACAACAGGTGCTAGTAGCTTAGCAGAAACGATTGAGGGGAAATGGTGGATGATGGGTTCTAAGATGTAAGAGAAAGTAGGTCCTTTAGTGTTTCATTAACCATGTAGGTATGATATATGATTCTGAGTTTGATGGAAAGTAAAGGGAAATTTTGATCACCGTGTAAGATGATCTTCAGACTTAACATTTAAAATTATTCTAATAGCTATTTGGAAAATAGAATTCAGTAGATCAGATGCAAACTTAGAGACAGGTTGATATGCTGTTGCAAAAGAGATAATAGTGACTAGGAACTAAGGAGGTGAAAATAAATGGTTGAATAACGCACATAAGTTGGAGATAATGGCAGTAAGATTGAAGACGGGATCTTCAATCTGAAGTGTGAAAAAAGTTGATAAGATGGATGATAGGTTTGTAAATTGAGACAGAAAAGTCAGAATGGGAGCAGGCATGGGAGAGTAAACCAAAGTTTGGTTTGGAACATGTATAGTTTGAAATGCCAGCTAAGTATCTTGGTGGAAATGTTATGTTTTCAGTAGATTATATTGAACTGGAATTCATGAAAAAGTCAATAGGGACTGGTGATACATATTTTGGAGTCATCAGTGTATAGATGTTTTTTAAGCCATAAGGGGATTGAATGAAATCCTTTAGGAGAGTATTTGTAGAAGAGAAGATAAGTTTAATATTAGCCTGAAGTGGGGAATTAGGGGTTACTTAAGCAAGATTATTAAAGTTTTGGAGCTTGAGTGAAGTTTAATGGAACTGATATACTTCCAAGAGCTTTTGAGGGGTCATAGTGAGGAAACACTGAGTTCAATCATAGGTTTGTA
This sequence comes from Homo sapiens, assembly GCF_000001405.40. Taxonomy (NCBI): domain Eukaryota; kingdom Metazoa; phylum Chordata; class Mammalia; order Primates; family Hominidae; genus Homo; species Homo sapiens. The sequence goes on along the minus strand of NC_000013.11, from coordinate 81,315,419 downwards.
GAACTTAAGGTTGGTACAAGGTTTAATAATTGAAGTGTTAATTTCACTGGTGTGTTTCACTATTATGTTTCACTTACATTACAATTTTCTCCACATTATTTTTTCCTAAAGCTTCATAGCAAAACTTAATTTAAAAAGTTTTCCCTGTTTTAAAATTTTATTATCTAACATATTATTTCGAGAAACAATAGTAGTCATAAAATTTCATGCACAACCTTTTTTAACAAGCCTTTGATTTTATGTTTCATATTTGAATTTCACTCCCAACTAATTAAACACAACATTGGATAAATACAGCTCAAGGAATCATGTTCTTCAGATGTTTTCCCAAAAGTAAATGAATACAGTTTATTAATATGAATTTTATTTAATCAACATATTACATGGCAGTCTTAGTATTATGCTAATCAAGACAGCAATGAATAAGAATCTGTGACTAAAATATTTTTAAATGAATATGTTATTATGTTACCAATAGTCTTATTTCTAAGATATAACAGAGTTTACATCATGAAACATAAAATAGTATGATAAATACATATGTATTACATAAAAGTATGATATATATGTATATATGTGTACATACATACATGTATGTATCTACAAATAAATACATAAAAGTATAATATATACATACTTATAGGTAGTTGAATACCAGACTGATTTCTCAGACTTGAACTAAATTGTGAAACATGGAAGACCTACCCTGGAGTACTTAACGTCTGGTGCTGTGCTTAATTGTGCGTAAGATCAAGTGCAGTTCTTCTTTGACCGTCAGGCTTCTTGGTACAACAGTGCTCCTGCAGTGTTCATTATGTTTTCTAATCTGATTCAGTGACTAGTCATTCTATGCTTCAGACTATGGAATAAAAACCAATGGGGAAGAACTGGGTAAAATAATTTCAGTATCATAATGAGGCTGGAACCTCTGCTTGGAGTCAAACAATTCTGAGTGTTATTCAACTAATTATCTTAATATTTCAAATTTTAGAAATTGGGGGCATTACACTGATGCAGACATTGCTTTCTACGCTGTCACCATATGCATAGGCACCATTGCAAAATGAATACTTGTCTTTACTTTCTCTTATGTCATTAATGTTTTCTTTCCTAATAGTATTAATTATATCATTAAAAACCATAGATGTTTATTAAGAATTCAGTATTGCTTTGTACAGATAAACAAGGAGATTTGTTGAAAATATATAGTTTTCATTTTAAATTCTGATTACTGAAATTGCATGGGTTTTATGCAAAGCATTGTTTCCAAAACTGGAAAATATATAACTGGACCAAAAAATAGACATGTATATCATCTACCTTTAAAACAATACTTTGAGATTAAAAGAAATTGCTCTTTGTATGGATAGTTATTCATAAGTATATGTAGTATATGAATTTATATCTATTTATAAAAATATACGTGTTTTTAAAGGAGAAGATATCAGAAAGCAGTTGTAACAGAGTTGAAACAGATTTACATAGTCTCTATAGAAGCTAAACTGGTATTTAAAGTATAAAATTTATTTCCTAAAAGTGGAAATTTAGTTGTAGGCAATCTTGTAATGGTTGTTCACAGTAATTTTTAGGTGAGTTTGTGTCATTGGCATATTAGACCTCGTTTTCTGTACCCACAGTGAACTTGCATTCTACAATTAAATGTGAATCTATCATTATATTTAATACCTGCACATACAGAGTATCGCTCTTCAAATCTGAAGTCACTTTTGATTGCACATTATTATCATGACATATACCCGAATGGATGAGGGCTAAAAATGATAAATGGAAATAAAAGCTCAAGATCTTATTTGCGTCAACATTTTTATTGGATTTTACTGAGTTAAAATTTTGATGCAGGAATATTCATGTATTTTAAATGTACTGGTCATTGACTTTTTAATAAATTTGTTAACGTACTTACTATTAGCAAATAAACTACATATACTCAAAGTACACAATTTGATAGGCTTCAATATACGCATATATATACCAAACCATAACCAGAACTATAATATGTGCATTATGTTCTCAAGTTTCCTTGTGCACCTTTTGTAACCTGAAATTTTGTGAGTTATTATAATCAAAATAAATACTAATATTTCATATATTCAGACATATCTAAATCATTATCCTTGAAAGAATGCTCATATGGAAAAAATGTTTTGTCACTAATTATGTACTTTTATTTATGTTTTCTCATTTAGAAAAGGCTGTTATAAAATATTTAGTTGTGGCATGATAGCTTGTTCAAAAAAATCTATCTCCCTAAATTTGACAAAATTAAATCATAAAATTTAAAAATTTCATAAATAATATTTCAAAAATGTAATGGTAAAATGCTGTCTTAAATAAACATAGAGAATCAATTTTTATTTATTTTTTAGACAAAAAATAGGAGAATATGCACAGACACAGTGATAAAGAAGTTAGAAATTTAAGAAATATGCATAAAACTTGGGTGGCACATCAAGGCATTTTAGTGATATTATAAGAAGTCTTCAAAGATGTAGAGAATTGTTACTATATATAGAGAAAATGCATTTAAAAGTTAAAGTTGGCAAAAGACATATCTGATAAAAGACTGTTATTCAAAATATACAAAGAGCTATTACAACTCAACAATAAGAAAAAAACTGATTATAAATTGGGCTACGACCATTGACACCTCAGTAAATAAGATATACAGATGACAAATAAGCATATGAAAATATGCTCAACATCATATGTAATCAGAGAAATGCAAATGGAAGCAGCAATGAGATACCAATCCACCCCTTCTACAATGGCCAAAATGAAAAACTTTAACATCACAAAATGCTGACAAGAATGTGGAACAACAGAAACTCAGTAATTGCTAGTGGGAATGAAAAATGGTACAACCACTTTGGAAAATAGTTTGGCAGTTTCTTACAAAACTAAACATACTTTTACTATATAATCCTGCAACTACACCCCTTGGTCTTTACCCAAAGGAGTCAAAAACTTCTGTTCACACAAAAACCCACATAATGATGCTTATATGAAAGCAGCTTTATTCATAATTGCCCAAACCAGGAAGTAGCGAATATGCCCTTAATTAGATTAATTAATAAATAAACTGTGGCACATACAGATAATGAAATGCTATTCAGCACTAAAAGAAATGAGCTATCAAGCCATAAAAATACATGGAGGAAACATAAATACATATTAGTAACTGAAAGAAGCCAATCTGAAAAAGCTGCATAATGTATCCGCTTTTTCAGATTGGCTTCTTTCACTTACTAATGATTGGCTTCTTTCACTTATTAAAGTATTCCAATAATACAACATCTTGGAAAAGGTAAAACACTATGGAG